>NC_000006.12:16575151-16726666 GCF_000001405.40 Homo sapiens | reverse complement strand
TCTTGAACTCCTGACCTCAAGTGATCCACCCGCCTCGGCCTCCCAAAGTGCTGGGACTATAGGTGTGAGCTACCGGGCCCGGCCAAGAAATTATTCTATGTCATACATAATTGGGTGCAAGAGGTCTTAGTAATTTGCATTTTAAAATGATAATTGGTATCATCTACGAAGAGAAGTTCTACCTTAGTGTTTTAGTTTAGCAGTGACACTAAGATATTATACATATGAAAATCTCTTAATGTTAGTGGGCAGAACTGGGAACCCTTCCCTTTTTTTTTTTTTTTTTGAGACAGAGTCTTGCTCTGCCACCCAGACTGGAGTGCAGTGATGCAATCTTGACTCACTGCAGCCTCTGCTCCCCCGGGTTCCAGCGATTCTCTTGCCTCAGCCACCTGTGTAGCTGGGATTACAGGCACACGCCACCACGCCCAGCTAATTTTTGTATTTTAGTAGAGATGGGGTTTTGCCATGTTGGCCAGGCTGGTCTTGAACTCCTGACCTCAGGTGATCCGCCTGCCTTGGCCTCCCAAAGTGCTGGGATTACAGGCATGAGCCACTGTGCCCGGCTGGAACCCCTCCCTCTTACAGTTCACAGGGTATAAGAAGCTACTTTCTAGGGCTTCATCTTAATATGGTGATTGAGTTCTATATTATGGCCAAAAGGAAAATTATGTGGGTATTGTGGGGAGGAGGAGTCAGAGGGCTAGGGGCAAAGCGGGCAGAGAAATATCAGCTGCCTTTATTTAGCAAATATTTACCAGTCGTTCCTGCCCATATGCACTTGTTCCTTGTGTACTTGGATCTGAATTGATTAAAAAGGTCTGTATGTATTGAGTCTTTTCCCTTAGGAGCGCTTAAGCTTTCTTTTGATGCTTTTTTTCTCTTCCTTTAAAATGGTGCAGGAAAATGTTGGAATAAACATAGTCAGCTTGTGAAAGGATGATTCTCTCCCTTATCTGGGCATAAATATTGTTGAATGTGAGAATGTGGGAGTAGCTACTGGGCCAAATATGCACAATGAGTGCAAGTGATTATTGACCTTACTGATGAGAGGAAGGAAGAGAAATACTTTAAAACTATTTTCACAGGGCATTTCAACCAAGATGTTTTTCTAAATTCGGTTTCTGATTCAAAAACTGGATTTAGCTCTTTTTCTTGTTTGTTTCATCTGAACAAATTTACCCTGAATTGAATGGGAGAGTGTTTCTTAATCCCCCATGTCTTTAGCAGTGAGTCATTTCCATGTTGTTGAGACATTTTCTAGCCTTTATTGCTGTGTGTAGTTCATGCTTTTCTCTGGATGTTTTGACTCCTTAAGGAACTCGCAATAACAAATTAACAATCACACTCCTCTGGAATGAAAACACGCAGTATCGGAGTAATAAATAGCAGTTCTCGAAACCTAAATAAACACAGAAAACTCAGCTCTCGTACTTAAGAAGGCTCTAGAGGAGTCCAGTGTCCAACATTACAAGCAAGACACACCATTTAAAGCCATAGGAAGTTAACATACTTTCATTTTAATTTTCCAAGGGATCATGTTATAAAACCATATAGCCACTTCCATTCTTCAAAACTTAATAAACGGTTAGTTTTAGTCATCTGACCTGCCTTCTCTCAAATGGATCATAATTTAGTTTAACAGGTTTGACATTAAAATAAGTTGTGTTTCTCTGGGAAACTCATGTTAGCCTGGACTTCTCCACTTCCTGTCTTTCTCTGGTGAAGCTGGTAATAGTGACTGAGCTCAGGCCATGGCGGGATCCTCACAGCCCTAAGACTAGGTGCCACCTGTGTGCTGCAACCCAGTACCAAAATAACAGGAAAAATCTAAAGTTATCCAGATAAAATATGTCAAATTATAAAGCCTCTGAGTCATGACAGTAATCAAACCTGATTCTATATCAGCAATCAAACCTGACTCTATATCAGCTTTACCAAACACTATTAATATATCCTATAATAAAAATTAAGGCGTCATTCCTCAGGTTCTTTAGCAAGTAAGTCAGTGCATCTATCTAATTTGCTAAGGCTGAAACCTATTGTACATAGAACTCGGGTCTGAATGGTTGTCCCGTAGAAAGTTTTAGAGCAGAGCAAGGTTGTAAATAGCCAGCTCCAGTGGCTGTTTTTCACCCTGTTCATGGGTTGCTTGCCCTGGTTGTATATTTAGTTGCCTGTGATGGATGGAGTGAAGTGCACAGGTCGTCTCTCAGGGGTGAACACTGGGTTTGATTAGAGGCCATTGTCATGAAAGATACTCCAGCTCTTCCATGACCATACATGCTTAGAAGAAAACTTTGATGCACAAAGAACTGAAAGCCCTAGGCACTGGAATTCCTGCTCATCAAAAAGACACCTAAAAAATTCTTTTGGAGACTTCATGAATTTTCTCTCGATTCATACTGAAGGACTGGTGCCAGTAATATTTTTCCTCTTTGCCTGTTTCAGTTTCTCATGAAGTTTTTCCATATTTAGACACACTGCCCAGTTAAAGGGAATGCCAGTCACTCGGGGTTTAAGACAATGAAGTATGTACTTCCCTCACCAATCAGTTGGGAGAGCTGATTGGGCTGAACTTCCAGTCTGAGGCATGTGAGTCACACACAGGCAGAGATTTAAATGTTATTAACATGAGAAAGATCTTTTGAACGTGAAGTCATCATGCTTGAGGTTACTTTGAACTTTCCTCATAGTCTCTTTTATGATTTGTGTAAGAATCAACATGCTTTAGTCTTATGTTAAAAAAACACAGTCGAGTGAAAATGGACATGAATTTAAAATTGCATGATAGCCAGAAACTTTTCATACTGTGGAAATGTTACACTGTGATAAACATTTAGTGAAGCTGCTTGGCTCATGGGCTATTTTTTTAATGGCTTTTGGGTTCAGAAATTTCAAAATGTCAGATTCTTTGTAATTTAAATTTCCTTCTAAGTAAGGAAGTGCACTATGTTATTAATTTTAAAAATATATATACTTAGAAGTTGAAATTGTGTAATTATCTTAATGCTCCAGAGTCTCTTTTCTGACTAAACATTGGAACTTATTCTGTTGAATGCAGGGAATTTGTCCAGAAAAGCTTAAGGAAATTTAGCCTACGAGGGGAAATGCGCTAGATTCATAAATAAAAGGTTTATCCAAAGGGGTGATATAGAACATGATTTTATCTATAAAAGATTGTACTTGAGTTTTGTCTCTTCCTCCTCCTTTTAGGATTAAGTAATGATTGTAGCTTAGTTTTTATAGTTGATTTATAGTAATAAGTTATGTGTAAGCTGACTGTGGGTAGTTGAACTCATTTCAACTGCAGAAGGATAGATTGTTGTTTAAAGGATCATACAAAAATTATTATTTTTTAATAAAATGAAAATGTCCCCAGAGATGTTACACCTGGAAACTTAAAAGTAGGAAAAATGATAATATAGTATGTTACTCTATCTCTGGAAGGAATGATCTCTCCCACTGAAAAGTAAATAGTCCAAAGTTTACAATGTTTAGTTGAAATAGCTTATAAATCACGGCAGTGACTTTTAATCCTTAGTAGAATTCTCCTTTATTTCTGAGAAGTCTGTATAAATGTTTATGGAAACACAGTCTGAAATATTTTAAATGTAGCATACCAATAGTACTTAAAGAGAACTTTACGCATGATCACACACATTCAGAGTTGTTGGGTAAAAACACCTTGTACCTTCTTTGGTAGAAAATACTTCTGTATTTGCGTGTGTGTGAGAGAGAGTGTGTGTGTGTTTTAAATTCTTAAACATAACAGATCTTTTGAAGCAGAGCAGAAAACTCGCATGTTACTGACACTGCATTCTCAGCCATGGGGAAAGCAACAGTGTGTTTCAGCTTTAGCAAATTACATGTGTTGACTCACTAAAGAACCTGAGTAACTACACCTCAGTTTTTATTACAGGAAATATTAATAGTGTTTTGTAAAGCCAATAGAGACTCAGGTTTGATTACTATCATGACTCAGAGACTTTATAATTTGACATATTTTCTCTGGATAATTGTAGATGTTTCCTGTTATTTTGGATTTTTTATTATCGTTATTTACTGTGAGTTTTGCGCTCATATACATGTAGCCCAGAAAAGCGATAGTGAGATGGTTCAGTGTATGGAATCAGTTTTATTGAACAAACAGTGGGGCAGGTGGGGGGAGATACTTTTTTGTAATTAGACTATTATTAGTGAGCACTTCCTTTGGCTTTTGTTCATTTAAATGTATCTTTTCTTTATAACTTCACAGGACGTGGAACATGTAAATGCATTTTGAGTTGAAAGCAGAAAATCACATTTCAGTAAAATTAAAAGCTCAAGATTTCATTTTCTTGTAAAATTTCTAATCATCCCCATTTGCTGAACTTTGGGCCCTTTCTTGGCATTGGGAGGTCATGGCTAATGAATGCATCTCCTGTTGCCTGGCTTACAGCCGCCCCCTGCTGCAGTGCCATTTGGGAGAAGTGTGTAATGTGCGTGCTTGGACTCGTTATCTCCTTTCATTTCCTCAACATCAGTTAATGCTGCATAGTTTGCAACATGATATTGCTTTGAGTTGGTGCCTAATTGTGTAGGCTGGCTAGAAGAACGAATCTTTGCAGTGGTCAGGTGAGGCCACTGAGTGTGCCCCTTTGCGGCCACTGCAATAAGGTGGTTGGGAATTCTTCATTTCTGATCACTGAACTTTTCCAGAACGTCCCAAGGCTCCCCCAGGAACTGTATTACAGCATGACATTCTGTGTATGTGGGTTTTTCTGGGAGAGGATTGTAGCTTTCAATCAGATCCTCCAAGAATTCTGTTTCTCAAAAGGTTCATAGGAACCATTTATTTAGAATTGAAAGATAGGCACATCTTCTGAGGAAAACAAATGAAAGGCTTAACAAAATGTTAAGGCTGAGTTACAGAAAACAAGCCATAAGCTACCTATTTTATTCAATTAAAAATAACCATGACATGGCCATTTTGTAAATTATTACATTAAATCTGCATTGCAGACATACCTGGTACGTATTTATTTATTTATTTTTTAAGAGGCAGGGTCTCCCTCTATCACCCTGGCTGGAGTGCAGTGGCATGATCATAGCTCACTGCAGCCTCAAATACCCGGGCTCAAGCAGTCCTCTTGTTCCAGCCTCCCGAATATCTAGAACTACAAGGACGTGCCACCATAGCTGGCTCATTTTCAAATTTTTTGTAGAGACGAGGTCTCACTATGTTGCCCAGGCTGGTCTCGAACTCCCTGGCCTCAAGCAGTCCTCCCACCTCAGCCTCCCAAAGTGCTGGGATTATAGGCATGAACAACCACCCCCAGCCACTTGGTACATATTTCAAATGTGGTTTGTTTCTTTTGAAATAATGAAAAGGAATAATGTTTCAGGGTTTGTGGCATCCACATTTTGGGATGGCTACATGCCGTAACCTTGTTCGTAGTAGCTCCTGATTTTTATCTGTATTAGAAATTGCTCGGCATGAGACAAATGAGGAACATTTGGGGAAATGTGTGAGTAATTGAGTAAAAACTAATAGCTGTCTTAAGGGAACCATCTTCTGGTTTGCATTTGTATTAATAGGTATGCAGAGCAGGAATAATTTGGAACGGGGGAGCTGGTTATCCTCTGGGTGTGTCAAGCACAAATCTCAGATTCCATTACATCTGCACAAGTCTTGACAGTTTGCAAAATGTGCCTAGAGGTATGCTTGATAAGGACAGACATTTCTTGCCTGGGTTCTAACTGTGTCACTGCTAGCACAGTATCTGGCCTGAACAGCATCTAAAGAAATATTTTGCTGGATGGGTTACCTCAATGGGTTCTCATAGCAGCCCTGTGGATATAGACACAGCATGTTTTATCATTCTTTTCTACAGGCTCAAAGAGGGTAATTACTTACTCAGGCTCACATAGCTGGTAGGAAAAGGATTTAGGCCTCTCCTTTATACCATGCTTTAGCTCGACCCAAATAATAAAAGCAAAAAAGCCATGTTTGGATCAACTGAGTTTTAATAGAAGAGCATTGGAGAGAGGTTGTAAACCCTCAGATATTTTCAAAAATAATAGTAAGCATTCTTGACTTGCAATGCAGAGAATGTCTTAAGCTCATATGTCTTGATGGTGCTAATCAAGTCAGGCTTTTATAATTGAGTGAAAGCACAGAAAAATAATTTATTCATTCTTATACAACCAAGTATTTATTGAATGTCTTTTCTGCACCAGACATGGTTGTATGCACTGAGGACGTAACAGAGAACAAACAAGGTTGTCTAAGTCCCTGCCCTCAGAGAGCTTATGTTCTCATAGTGGAGACAACCACAAGTAAATTGCATAAGTAGACTCTATTTGCAGACCCCCCAAAATAGAGTAGGATATGTTAGGAGAAAGAGTGATGGCAGGGGCGAAGGGGATTCTTTTGTTTGGTGGAGTCAGGGAAAGTCTTAGGGGATGGGCTTTTGTACAGAGACTGCAGTAAGGTATAGGAGCCAGCCCTGGAAGATGGGAGTGGTGAAGGGTGAGATGAGAATCTGAGGATGAGCACTGTAAAGGAAGAGAATGGCCAGGTGAAGGCTCTGAGGCCAGAAGGAGCCTTTGAATTGATCTAGAGGCTGCAGGAGCTTGGATTTTACGCTAAATGTGATGGGAAACTCTGTTAGTTTTCCAGGGCTGCTCTAATAAATTACCAGAAACTTGGTGGGTTAAAACAACAGGAATTTGTTCTCTCAAAGTTCTGGAGGGCAGACGTCTGAAATCAGGTGTCAGCCGGGCCACACTCCCTCCCGAAGCTCTGTTGGGAGAACCTTTCCTTGCCGCTGTCATCCTCTGGTGGTTCCAGGCGTTCCTTGGCTTGTGGCAGCGTCACTCCAGTCTCTGCCTCTGTTTTCACATGGCCTTCTCCTCTGTGTCTGTACCAGGTCCTCTCCTGTCTCTTAGAAGAACAGTGGTCATTGGATTTAGGACCCACCCGGGAAATCCATGACATTTATGTCAGGGGCTGGAAAAGGAAGGACAGGTGGGATGTGACCATCCGGAGAGCCTATCTCAGCTGTCATGGGTTGTCACAAAGGCCATTGTGTGGTTAATTTTTATCTTCTTATTCTTGTTTCCTCTTTAATCTTTCATTCTAAGCCCTATAGCCCTGACTGGCAGATTCGCTGTCGGGTTTTTCTAGTTGTAGATGACATGCTTTTTCTTAAAGCCATCTTCATTTATTAATCTACATTCGTTTTTAATTTTAATGCACCAATCAATAATTATTTCACTTGACAGTTTTTGACAGCATGCTGCTTGCGACATTTAGCTGTTTAGCATGAATTCAAAAGGTGATCTATCAATTTGCACAAATGAAATAAAGTTGCTCTTTCTTCCTGTGCTTTGGGGGAATGTATAAAAAAATGTATGTTTATCCTTCCCTGGAGAATTTTTGATGTAGAAATACTGAATAGTTTTCTATATAAGAAGACAGAGGACTAAAGAGCTTTAAAATTTGTTGTGCTTATTTTGCTTGTATCATAAATTCACGTGAAAGGCCAGATTTCTCTTAATTGCGTTGATATTGTGGAGATGAATCATTCAACAAATGTTTATTAAGTGCTCATTGTGTGCATGGCACTCTGCAAATGTTATGGGAAATAAAGACAGAGTCCCCGGGAAATAAAGACAGAGTCCCCAGGAAGTCTAGTAGTCAGAGAAACAAAGCCACTTCCCAAATTATGGTGGGTAGAAAAACTTAGGAAATGACAGTTTTATCATGCTACATACCTTCACTTAATGAATCCTATGTGAAAATTCCCAGTAAAAACCTATGAACAAAAGTGTGTGGTTGTCTTCATGTATACATTGTGTGCACACATCTGTGCGTACAATGCACAGCTTTGTATGAAGCTAGCTGAAAACTAAACAGCTAGGCTGAACTTAGCTGAAAACTAAACAGCAGGGGAAATGTTCTTTCTCACTAAAATCACAGTGTTAAAACTCTTGGCAGTTCAGATGGTCTCCACTGTAGCTGTTGGTTTACATTTTGATAATTTACCAAAGAGCATAATATATTTAATTCCTAGTTGGATGGTGTAACTCAACACAGCATTTCCAGCGAAACGCTTTGCAAATGGGAAGTAAGCATTTTCTTTGGAAACCAGCAGCTTCCTTACTCCCTTGGTTCTTCTGTGGGTATAAGCATGACCTATAGGTTAGAAGTTCTGGAACAGAAGGAGAAAAATGAATTATGTCACAGTTAACAGGAAAGGAGGTGCTTTGCATTCTTGCTCCGTTGCAGTTAGTTTTGTTTTCCTTCCTTGGTTTGGGGGCATTTGGCCTTGCATATCCTGGCAAGATTTAGGCAAAACAGGCACTGACCTTCTTTCTGGAATGCTCTTTCATTTTGCCCCATGCATATTATTAAGAGGCATAATTCACTGTCATATTTTTGTGGCTAAAAGTTTTCTAACTTCTATACACTGAGCCTTTGTTTTCTGCTTAATAGGGCAAAAGAGCTGGCATTTTCTGGGCATCATTGACCCTTCACTATGATTTAGATTTTTTAAAGAAACACATAAACTGTTCATTGCACCTTGTTGTGTGGCAACTCTGCCAGTCACTAATTGGTACTGTGGATATTTGGCTGTTGCTCTTATTTACTTTCCTCTGGTTTTTACATCACTTAATTAAATCTTGTGCCAGTTTCCATTCTATACATGTATAGGGAAGCAAACAGAAACTTTGTCCTGAAGCACCAGGTTCTTTGGCTTCATCATCCTAAACAGCTCTGTGAAAATCAGTTGAAAGTGAGTAGAGCCAGAAGTGGCGTGTAAGCCATGCTGTCAGCGAGGGCTGGCTGGATCTGCATACGATCGCCGCCTTCTGCCCCTGCTTTTGGAGACTAGAGATGGCTTCTGGTCTGTGTCCAGGGCTTGCCATGCTGATTCAGAGAGCTATGCCACAGATGAGCCTGAGTTGAGACCATGATGCCAGCATATCCTCAGACCCACGAGATCGTTATGCCAGAATGTTAATCCGCAGTGGAAACCATTACTAACATACTCTCAAGGCCCACATGATGAGCACATTCTCTCTCTGTGTTAAGCTGCATGGGAATGTAAATCCTAACTGGAAGCTACTTTATTGATGTGCCTTGAGAAATTGCTGCTCTCTGGCTGCAGGTATCAGCAGCAGTCACAGTGCACATGCTCTCTAAGGAAGATCCATATGGAGTCAGGTGTTTGCTTGGTGAGCAGGGAATCGGAACAAGGGAGTGGGATGAGTTGACTGTTAAGTGGCACCAAGCAAACATAGCCTGCCTCTCTGTTCATCTCAGGAGAAGGGTGGCTTTTCTAGTGGGACCAGGAACATGTCAGTCATTGCCTGCTACTCCCTACAGTCATCTCACTAGGGTGGCCTTGCCTGTGAAGACACTGTATTCTCCCCAACAACCTTGGCATTGCCTACATAGACTTTAGTGACTCTGTACTTTCCTGGCTAAGCCAGCCCTGGCGCCCTTTTGAGGACACAGTCTTTTCTTAAATTCATGACTATATTTCATCAGGTGCTGGCTGGGGCAGGGGTAGTGGTGATGGTAGTAATTATCTTTCTTCAGTTGGCTTTGTATGTCCATGTTCTCATCCACTAAATTTTGTTCTTACTATAAACCGCTAACTAGGCAATCTCTTCCCCGTTGTCAAGTTCTTGGTTGGGGAATGGTAATCTTTATTGTCCTTCTTATAAGTCCCTTTGGAATGGATAGAGGCTTTGGGATGGACATCTCGTGAACTGTATCTTCATATCAAGCTCTGTGAACTGAATGGCAACAAGGAGGCATTCATCCAGACCAGGAGTAGGCAAACTATGGTCCATGGGCCAAATCCAGCCTGTTCTTGTAAATAAAGTTTTATTAGCACATAGCTACATCCAATAATTTGTCTAATGTCTATAGCAGTTTTTGCACTACACTGGCAGAATTTGATTTGAGTCATGGTGAAAGAGACCATAGTCCAAGAAAGCCTGAAATATCTACTATCTGATCCTCATCAGAAAATGTTTGCCAACTGTAGTCTATACCTTTGCACGTCAGAGAATTGCATCAGGGAAGAACTAGAAGCCCTCCTTTTGCACCCCCACAACCCTGCCACAATTCAGTGAACAAACAGAAGATCAGAGAGGGAATGTGACTTGACCAAAGTCACACAGCTGGTTCATAGGAAAGCCAGGACCTGAGCTCAGATCTTCCAGTTCCTAGTGTATTTGTCTTCTACTTTTGGAGGACGTTGTGAGTTTTCTGGTTTACAGATGATTAACCATTACAACATACTGAAAGAAAGCTTCTTTAGTGGTCAGAGCTATTTTCCAAACTGACTTCCCCAGGCAAAATCACTAGCCAGCTTGGCATTGATACTCATTTATTAATCTTACAAACAGTACCTACCATATTTCAGGGATGGGGCTGGGGCTAAGACACTGATGAAGAAGCACAATCCCTGCCCTTGGGAAGTTTGGATGAGAAGAGTGGTCAGATAGCTAGATACAGAGATGCATGTCATTTTATCTGTAGTGTGTTACTTATCATCATAGGACTGTGATCATATGGACGAAGGATGCGTTAATTTAGCCTTGAGTGGGTGGGGGTGTTGTCAGGAATGGCTCCATAGGGTTGGAGATGTTTGAGCTCTGTCTCAAAGGAGATTGAGTTCTTCAGGTAGAGAATTGCAGCAGAAATGGCTGTGGTCCTCTAGGCTTGAGTGTGCATGGTATCCAGTAATTTGGGAATGCTTGTCTAACACAACTAGAGGTAGGGCTTAGGGGACGTGGTATGGGGTTACAGGAAATCTAGTTGGAAAAGTAAGTTGGAGCCAAACTGGGAAACTTACGGCATTTCAAATGCTAAGGAGTATGGACTTTGGCTTATATTCTAGGGGTTTTCTAATCTGTAGATTCCAAAACATATGGGAGACCACATTTCTTGTAAAAGAGGACCTGCACATTCATACCAACACAAAGCATGGTCTGTAGATTTGGTCATCAGAATCACTAACAGAAATAGGAGCTTTCTTCCAAATATATGTAGCTGGCTGATATTGTAAGTCATTAGCCAGAATTCATTCACAGCGTTACTAAGTTCATAGTATCTTTTTGACCATTGTACATCTTCTTGATCAACAGATATTAAGAGTTAAACATCTAGTGCCTGAAGTCTGCAACATTTTTGATTGAAGAAAATGTTGGGAACCACTGCCGTTGATGGCAGTAGTCATGAAATTTTTTGAATTAACACATGTTATAGGTTCCAGAGTCAGCTGCCCTAAATTTTACTAGCTTTGTGACTTTGAGCAAGTTATTTAACATACCTCAGCTGTAAGAGTCTTTATCTCTAACGTTAAAATAATAGCCTCTGTCTCTTAAGATTGTTATAAAGATATGATAATGTCTGAACGCATGTAGCATGGGGCCAGGCTGATGGGATATACTCATGTTTAAATAGAAGCTATTGTAATGATTTTTAGCGGATGTGGCATATGCAGATGTATTTTAGATTTGACCCAGTGTGGACGATGAGTTCAAAAGGGAGAGTTGTACGACCTTCCTGTTATCCAAGTGAGAAATAATGGGGCCAGGGTGGGCAGGGGATAGGTTAGGGAAGGAGAGGGGAGAGGGAGTATGGGAAGGTGTATGTCCACTTTAGGTAATGAAGTGAGAAATGAAAGAAGCCACATTCTGTTTCATGCCCAAAGCAACAGACAAGGCACAAATTAGAGTGTAGGGAAGCCAGTTTCTGTGACTTGATGGCATAGAATGGTGTGGCTTATCTGGCAAATTCCACGCCCCGTAACTCCTGGAATTGATCTGGATAAGAATTCACCTTGAGTAAATTTTAAAAATTAATTTAATAAATTAATAGCCCCCCCTTTGAAACACAGAAAAATTAGAATTACAGCATGAGTATCTTTTTTTGCTCTAAAACAGTACAGCCCAGCAGTTCAGCCTACACCCATCACAGAGCTTTCAAAGGAATGTATACAAGAAAATACATATACAATTACAAATTTTAAAAATTAAGTAACATGTATATACTGTTAAATATTTATATATTGATGCTTAGAAAAAGATGGGACAAATGTTAAGTGTCAGCTGGGAGGTTTTTACTTTCTTCTTTGCCATTTCTGTATTTTTCAAAATGAATATGTATATAATTTTAAAATGTGTTAACACTATTTCAAAAGGAAAACAATCACAAAAAGGAATAGATTGGAAAAGCTTCAGGGGACTTGCTATCCTTGTCTTTTTGGGTAGCTGTTCTACAAAGGCGGGTGGTGGTGGGTGCCTCCCAGCTGTGTCTCATTTCAGTCAGCGGATGCTCTGCTAAATCTAGTGATGGGCGGCCTACCTCCGAAAGGTGGGTGGGAGTGAGGGATGAGTGTAGCAGTAGTACATGCAAATGGGGCCAGGTTTTGGTGTGTGTGTGTGTGTGTGTGTGTGTGTGTGTGTGTGTGTGTGTGGTGTGTGGTTTTTTTTTTCTTTCTTTTTTTCTACAGTCTTACTCTGTCGCCCAGGCTGGCATGGAGTGGTGTGATCTTGGCTCACTGCAACCTCCGCCTCCTGGGTTCAAGTGATTCTCTGCCTCAACCTCCCAAGTAGCTGGGACTAGAGGTGCACACCACCACGCCTGGCTAATTTTTGTATTTTTATAAAGACGAGATTTCACATGTTGGCCAGGCTGGTCTCAAACTTCTGGCCTCATGTGATCCACCCGCTTTGGCCTCCCAAAGTACTGGGATTATAGGCATGAGTTACTACGCGCGGCCAGGGACCAGTTAAGATTTGACGATTACATTTTATTGAATGTTTGCATCAGAGGCACCTGGAAGGCTTGTTTAGACCACAGATTTCTGGGCGCCAGGCCCAGGGGTTCTGATTTAATAGTTCTAGGGTGGAGCCTGAGAATATGTATTTCTGACAAATCCCTCCGTGAAACTGATGCTGCTGGCCCCAGGACCACACTTTAAGTGAGGGGTAGTAAGCGGGTGGAGAACTGCATGGAGGATGAAAAGCATCCAGTTGGATTTTATATTTGCTCCCCCTTCTTCATATACACACACTGAAATCACTCCACTCTATGTTTTCTCAGATTCTTTCCCTGTCTGGAATATTTGGTTCTCTCTTCATGTTCAGTCAGTAGAAACAAGAAGTAACTCTTGGATTGAGCAGTTTTCACACAAGTAGCCCAAATGATATTGACACATCATTTCTACACAGCATCAGCTTGTTCACACACATACGCCCCCAGAGGCCAATGGCGTCCTTTGGCTTTGTTCTCCTTTTTAAAAATTCAGTGAGTAAGCTAATTTTATAGGAATGTCTCAGAAAGCTATTCCTGTAAACCCAGCGTTTGTAAATTGAAATAGAGGAAGCGGTGCTGATTACCGCAATTGTATTGAAACTTATTCATGGAGCGGTCCCTCTAGATTCAGATAGTTTGGACAGAAACCCTCCAACTCTTCCCTTACCACTCCATTGTTTGGTAAAGTTTAATGTGCTCACATGGCATCTACTTTTTCAGCCAGGGTTAATACTCCTAGCGATTCTTTCACTGGAAGGGATGACTCAGAGAGGAAGAGTTGGCATTAATTGCTTCATCAACTATGCTTATTATGAGTCATCTCTTGCTTGTCTTAGTAATTCAGCTGGAAAAAGGAGAAATGTTATCTCTGGTTCCTGAGGCCAGCTTGGGCTTCAGTGAACTAGGATACTCCCTCGTAGCCATTTGTGAGTTTCATTCAGTTACTAAGGGAATGAACAGATTGTGAATCTCATTATCCTAGCAGGTACATATAAATCTATAAATGGCGAATGGCAGTTACTTCCTGATGTTTATCAGTGATGAGATGCCACAGGCAGGACGTTAGCCCTAGAAAGGCACTGTTTTGAAGGTGGCTGATTAAGGGGCAAAAGAAAAAAAAAAAAAGCAAAAACGGAGGGATATGTTCAGGTCCCTGCCTTTACTCAGTTCCCTCCCCTAGCTTCCAATTTGATTAACAGAGGTGTCGAGGGAGGAAGAGAACAATTTCCAAATAAAACTGCCTTTGGTTCTTTTTTTGAGTGTAATGTGGTAACTGGATTATTTGGAAACACGAATTTAGGTCTCTTACTTTCTACTTCTTGCGTTCAGTTCACTCGTGTCTTCCTGTTTGGTGTATACCTTCCCCTTCTGACTCAGTCTTCTCTATTTCTCTTCTCACTGTAGCAGACCACCGTTCTTCCCCTGCCTTAGGCGTTTCTCACTTGCTGTCTGCCTTGCGTGGCTGTTTTCACTCAAGCATGTTCACTGTTCCTTTGTACGGAATAGGGGTTATCCCCACAGACCCTCCAGGTAGAAAGTACATCTTTCTTTTCACTAATAAATTAGTTTATTATTAATAGTGAAAAGAAAGTACATCTTTCTTTTCACTAATAAATTAGTTTCTATTTAGGGAGAACATACAGTGAAATCAACACATCTTAAGCGTACAGCGCAATGAGTTTTGATGAATGCATACATCCACATAATCAGCATCCTAATCAAGATATGGGACATTTCCATCACCCCAGAGCCCCTCTGCCCCCTTCCTGTCAACTTTCCACCTCCCCGTCATCAACCACTGCTTTGATTTCTGTCACTGTAATTGAATTTTGTTTGTTCTTGAGCTTCATACAAATGGAATCAGTCAGTACTTTTTCGTATCTGCTTTCTTTTGTTCAGCATATCATTTTTGAGATCATCTGTATTGTTGCAGGTAGCAACAGTTAATTTAAAAAATGCTAGCCAGAGGCCAAGGCAGGCATATTGCTTGAGTCTAGAAGTTCGAGATCAGCCTGGGCAACATGGTGAAACCCTGTCTCTATTAAAAATACAAAAACTAGGCGGCAGCAGTGGCACGCACCTGTAATCCCAGATACTCAGGAGGCTGAGGTGGGAGGATCACTTGAGCCTGGGAGGGGTCAAGCCTGCAGTGAGTCATGATGGTGCCACTGCACTTCCAGCCTGGGCAACAGAATGATGTGTCGCAAAACAAACAATCTATATCTATATAGATATAGATGGTTTTTTTTTTTATTTTGTGAACTTACATATATGTGTGTATATATATATGTGTATATATATGTGTATATATATGAGTTCTTTATATAGTCTGGATTTAAGTCATTTATCAGAAATATGAATTTTTTCTCAGTGTTTGGCTTACCTTTTTCATTTTTTAAACTGTGTTTGATGAGCCCCTTTAAATTTTAATGAAGTCTAATTTATCATTTTTTAAGATATATGCTTTTTGTGTCTTTATAACATTTTTGCTTACCCTGTGGTTGCTAAGATGTTATCCTCCTGTTTTCTCCTGGAAGATTTCTAGTTTAGCCTTAACATTTAAGTATATGAGCCATTTCAAATTAAGATATGAGGTGTAGGGGTCAAGATTCAGTTTTTATTAAAATGTATGAAACAACAATTATTGAAGTGATTTTTTTTCCTTATGAAATTGCCATCACACCTTTGTCAAAAATCATTTGGTTTTATATGTGTTTTAAGACTCTCTGTTCCACTGATCTGCAGTCTGTACTTAGGTCAATACTATATTGTCTTGATTAAAATACTGTCATGGGCTGGGCTCTATGGCTCTTGCCTGTAATCCCAGCACCTTGGGAGGCTGAGGTGGGAGGATCGCTTGGGCCCAGGAGTTTGAGGCTACAGTGACTGCAGCATTGCATTCCATCCTGGGCAGCAGAGTGAGACCGTGTCTCTATTAAAAATAATAATAATAGGCTGGGTGTGGTGGCTCATGCCTGTAATCCCAGTACTTTGGGAGGCCGAGGCAGAAAGATTGCTTGAGCTCAGGAGTTTGAGACCAGCCTGGGCAGCATAGCAAAACCCCATCTCTACTAAAAATACAAAAATCAGCTGGGTGAGGTGGCATGTGCCTGTAGTCCCATCTACTGGTGAGGCTGAGGTGGGAGGATCGCTTGAGCCCAGGAGGTTGAGGCTACAGTGAGCTGTGATCATGCCACTGCACTCCGGCCTGGGTGACTGAGCTGGACCCTGTCTCAAAAATAATAACAATAAAATTCAAAAATAATGAATAAATGTTAAAATTAAAAACTAAATAGCTTTATGGTAAATCTTGAAAACAGATAGCGTGAGTCCTCTCTGTCTTGTTTTTTCCCTCAAGATTATTTTGGTGGTGTTCTATCTCCTTCAGAGTTCCATATAAATCCCCCTACCCCCCAAAAAAGCCTGTTAGAAGTTAGTTCAGATTGCACTGAATCATAAGAGAGAAATTTAAGGAAAATTCACCTTAACAATATTGAAACTTCAATTCAAAAACACGGTATATCTTTCTCTGCCTTTTTAATGAATTTCTGCCAGGAATGTTTCCCTGTTTTTCCTGCAGAGACATTGCATATCTTTGGTAAAATTTAATTGTACTTTATGCTTTTCGATATAATACATGTAATTTTTAAATCATCCTTTTCAAATTATTTATATAACCAGGACTTTTTTTCTGATCGTACAGGGAAAGTATTAACTATTTCACCACTATTTCATCATGATGTTAGCTGTAGGTTTTTCATTTGCCTTTTATTGGATTGACGAAGTTTCCTTCTATTCTCTTTTTTCTAAGAATTTGTGTTTGTTTGTTTTTATCGGGAATGTGTGTTGAATTTTGTGCAGTTCATTTTTGCCTCTGTTGAGATGTCATATGGTTTTCCGCTTTATGTGGTGAATTATATTGATTGGTTTTAAGTGTTAAACCAAACTTGAGTTCCTGGGATAAGAACCAGTTATAATTATGTGTTATTTTGACCTATTGCTGGATATTTTGGCTAACATTTTATTAAGTATTTTTGCGACTATGTTTATTAAGAACATTGGTCTGTAATTTTGTTTCTTTATATAATATTTACTAGGGTTTAGTGTTAGTGTTAGTAATACTGATTATATAAAATGTATTCGTGGAGTCCTCCTGTTTTTTACTATTTTCTGAAAGAATTTATGTAAGATTTTCTTTCCTCTTAAAATTGATGAAATTCCACAGTGAAATCTTTGGGCTTGGAGTTCTCTTTGTGTGAAGGTTCTAAGTTTTTAAAATTTAATTTAAAAACATTATAAAGTAAAATATTCCCTTTTTTGATGTACAATTCTATGCATTTTAACATGTGTAGAGTTGCATAACTACCACCACAATCAGGATACAGAACAGTTGTATCATCATTGTGCCAAGGATTTTGATACTGAATTCAATTTCTTAACATATAGCCAACTCTTCAGATTTTCTGTTTATTCTTGCTATTGGTAAGTTATGCTTTCTATTTTTCAAGAAGTTTTTTATTTCATCCAAGTTGTGAGATTTATTGACATAAAGTTTTTAGTAATACTTTCTTCTTATCTATTTAGTGTCTGTAGGATTTATAGTGATATCCCCTTTTCCATTTTTAATGATGTTTTCATTTACTTATTTTTGTGATTAGTTTTGCTAGATGTTAATTAATTTTATTAAGCTCTTCAAAGAATGAACTACTGTTTGCTTTCTGTTCTTCTCATTATTTCCTTCTTTTTCCCTACTTTGGATTTAATTTTCCTTCCTCCTTCCTTTCTCTTTTTCTTTTCTTTTCTTTTTTTTTTTTTGAGACAGAGTTTCGCTCTTTCACCCAGGCTGGAGTTCAGTGGCACAATCTTGGCTCACTGCAAACTCTGTTCCCTGGGTTCAAGTGATTCTCCTGCCTCAGCCTCCCAAGTAGCTGGGATTACAGGCATGCACCACCGTGCCCAGCTAATTTTTGTATTTTTAGTAGAGACAGGGTTTCGCCACGTTGGCCAGGCTGGTCTTGAACTCCTGACCTCAGGTGTTCCACCTGCCTTGGCCTCCCAAAGTGCTAGGATTATAGGCATGAGACACCGTGCCTGGCTTGCTTTCCTTTCTCTATATCACTGATTTGAACGTCTTCTTTTTTTTTCTGTTCCTAGGTACACACACTTTTAAGATTGATGTATCTTCCTAATAAGTACACCCTTTAATTATTATGAAATGACCCTTTAACTCTGGCAATTCTCCTTGTCTAGAAATCTACTGATCTGAATATGGCTACAAGAGCTGCAGGCTGTTCAGACTTCAGCCGAGGTCTTGCAATGAGCCCTTATGTTTTAATTGCATTGTACAAATTTTGATATATACTTTTATTGTCACTTAACTCAGTATTTTGTATTTCCATTTTATTTCCTCTGGGAATTGTCTAGTAGTAAACATTTTAATTCACAGACGTGGGGAATTTTTAAGCTTCCCTTTTTTCCTTAATTGCTAATTACATTTTTATTTATTTATTTCTCTTCATAGTTGTTGCTTTAAATATCTCTGTGCCATTTTGTTAGATGCATGTATGTTGACGATTATAAAATCATCTTTATTGGTTGTTCCTTTTGCCAGCCTAGGATGTCCCTCACCATCATTTATAATGCTTTTAACCTTACATTCCATTTTGTCTGATATTCAGAGTGCTATCCTGGTTTTTGTTTTTAGTTTTGCTTATATTTTCTTTTTTAAAAATCTTTTAGTTTTAATGTCATTGTATATGTTCATTTTACACGCATCATTCTTCCCCCCCACCACATATTGTGCATAGCTCTGTACTTGTCTCTGTTATTTGATTAGTGACTTTATACCCAGTTATCCTTACTGTAATCATTTTTATTAAGATTTTTAGCTTCATTTAATGTTTTCTACTTGGCTTTACTTTTTGTTTTGTTTTGTTTTGCTTTCTTCCTTTGGATAGATCGGATTTTTTTTCCCGAACACATTTTATTTTATTCTTGTAGCATTTATACCTTTATTTAAACATAAACTTAGGTATAAACATAGTTTCCTTTATGTCTAAAAATTATCAGTAATTTTTAAGTTCCCCAAATGACTCCCCCACTCATAACCATTGGACCTCTTCTCTCTCAGTCTGCTATTTTCCCCAGTGTTCCCTCTACTGAGACTTAACCACCTTCTTTCCTGCAAGAATTCCCCATCACATGGAAAATAACTCTCAGCTGCATCAACCTCTAGCCTGTGCAACTTCCCCACCTTGCTTGGAACCGGAAATGACTTCTACTTTTAGAAAGTTCATTCTCTGGGCAGAGTAGAAGATAGAATTCATTGGGGTGTTATTGAGACAGAGAGACCATCTAGGTACTCTTGAAGAAGTCCAGGAGACTTTAGGAGGGTCCAGGTTAGAGTAGTGGCAGTAGAGTGGGAGGACTGGTGGAACAACCGGGAGGATTTGGTGTTGTATTTGAGGAGTTTGAGAAAAAGAGAAGTTGATGGTGCCAAGTATGAGTGGCAAATATCAGATTTCTTTTATTTTTTCCTACCCTATTCTCTTCCCTCCCAAATTCCATTTGCATGACTTCTTACCAAGGTTTGGTTCTGCCATTTTAAATGAAATAAGACATGTAAAACACATGGTATATGTCCTAGTATAGAAATAGTAATTAAAAAAAATAGATGCTAGCTTCCACATTTCTGTCTCAAGTGCTGACTGTATGAATGGGGAGGAGGAGCCTACAGATTCCTGAGGAGGAACAACTTCTTTTTCTTGGTGGCAGGGTGGTTAGAAATGTAATTATTTCATTTCTTCATCTTTTGAATTTGAGCTGCCAATGAGACATTTAGGTGACAGAAAATTGTATATCTAAGTCTAGGATTGAAAAGAGATGATAGAGATTCAATAGCTGTTAGGAAAACTGTAGAAGCTCGTCTAGCGGGAGGTGATAAAGTGAAGAGAAGAGAAATTTGAAAAGCATTTATGGGATGGATTGGAAGAAGGAGGATCCATCAGAGAAAGTTAGGAGGCCTGAATTCTTGTCCCAGTCTGGTTTATTTAGCCCTGAATAAAGCACTTAACCCTCTCAGGGTCCTCTTTCTTTCTTCCTTTTTTTTTTTTTTTTTGAGATGGAGTCTTGCTCTGTCGCCCAGGCTGGAGCGCAATGGTGCAATCTCGGCTCCCTGCAACTTCCGCCTCTGGGTTCAAGCAATTCTCCTGCCTCAGTCTCCTGAGTAGCTAGGATTACAAGTGTGCACTACCACGCACGGACCATTTTTTTGTGTTTTTAGTAGAGACAGGGTTTCACCTTGTTGGTCAGGATGGTCTTGAACTCCTGACCTCGTGATCCACTTGCCTCGGCCTCCCAAAGTGCTGGGATTACAGGCATAAGCCACTGTGCCCGGCCCTCTCTTCCTTTAAGATCTCTTTCTTTCTCTCTGCCTCTCGTTCTCTTTCTCCATTCTTCATTAATTCAACAAAGATTTCTTGCATACGTATTGGGCGCCAAATTCTGCTCTAGGTATTGAGGCTAAAGCATAAGATAGGATGTGGTCTTTGACCTCTAGTACTGGGAGCAGGCAACAGATTAATCATTGCTCTCTGTTAAGCATTATGGTAGGGTATGTTTCATACCTGAGTCAGGTTGACTGGAGGAAAGGGTGCTGAGAAGGCCTGCAGAGCACGTCCTTCAGTCCAAGCTTTTCAGAATGAGGAGTTGTTCAGACAAGCTTGGGCAAAGAAAGACAAAAGAAGTGCAAAATAGTATTATATGGATGGGCTGAAGGAGCAATAAGCAGTTTGGTAGGTCCATAGTGAGGCAGGCCTGACACCGCTAGAGGGGCTCAGGGTCTCGATCAGGAAGGGCCCTTGTGAGCCAAGCAGAGATCTTGGATTTTATCTTGGATGCAATGTAGACCCATTCAAGGACTGTAGGGATGTGAAAAGTCAGGTGTGTGTTTCAGTGATTTCATTCTGTTAGTGCTATGCATTTGGCATGATAAGGGACCAGGTGGTGGGCAAGGAGACCAGAGAGGAAGCAGTTGTAGAAATCCAGGTGACAGAGGAATGTTGAAAATTCCAGAACCACAGAGCACCTGCTTCATGCTAATCACAGGTCTGTGTGCTGCGGCTTCTGCAGGGACCAGGACAGACAGGCCCCTTGTTCTCATGGAGTTTGGAGTGGCAATGGAAGTGACAGAATGGAAAGAATGAGCAGATTGGAGAGATGTTAATAAGCAAGGATTTAGAGGACTTGATGAGCAATTAGATATTGGAAGTGAATGAGAGGGGGGTAGTGTCTGGTTTGAGGAAGTGAATGGGCAAATGACACCACTCACTGTGATTGGGGAACCAAGAGAATAACTGAGTGGGACCTTCAGGGAAAGGTGCCCAGCCTGCACTTGTATAAATAGGTCTGGATCTCAGGAACGGCCTCCGTGACTTACTGGATCAGGGAAAGAATTGGACTATGTGGATGTTTACGTTACTTGATTTTATTCTGCTCCATCATTCAGTTTGGGTCTGTGACTGTTGAGTCACCTCACAGAGGACGAGGTATCCTTATATCTCTTTCCCTAAAACCTAGTGTGGGGTGAGCAAAACAGTAGGGCTATTGTTTGAAGTAGGTCTGGAATTCTGTATCATTAATTTCTTTGCTCACCCTCTGATCCCTGCCTTCACTTTAGCCCTCCCCCAAGTCCCAGCATAGGCTCACTACCTGGATTTTGGCTTCTGTGTGAACTGCTGTGGGCAATCGTGTCATATTCCTGTCACAGAGACTCTAGGATGCTCCAGCGGGTAGGGATTTTAGGATCACTGGGTCCAATCTCTGCAATTACAGATGAGAGAGGTGAGGCCTGAGGAGGCAAGGGGGCCTGCAGAGCACTGGTGTAGGGCTACAGTGTGGTCGCTTGATTCACTGGTCTGTTTTGCACTGTGCCCCCTCCCCCTCGCTGAGTGCTTAGAGAGCAGGGCAGGAAAAGTTCTGCACATTGGTGCAGACGTTTGGAAATGACTAAGCCTGTGTGTGTAACTTTGAGACTTCTCGTGAAGGTTGTCAAGAAGCATTTGATCACTTCAGCTCTGAGGTAGGGAGACAGTCTCCTTGGGCATCACACTTGCATTCCAGCAGCCCCCTTGTTTGGGGTGCTCTCCAAAGGCTCCCCGTAAGGAATTGTTTCACCCCGGGTGTAGAATCACATTGCACTGCGGCTTCAAAGGAAAAGTAAAAAAGTGCAGAAATTACCGACCGGAGTGTGGGAAGTACTTCTTGTTGGTAAGATTTTCAAGTGCTGGGGAAGAGATGTGTTGAAAGGACATTTACTTTCATCAGCTTAGAGCATCTGTTTTTTATACTTTAAAAAGAAGCAACACCTCAAATTATGGCAGTCCCTGGGCAAGTAAGCACTTGAGATTTTGATCTGTACAGATTCTTAGAGGGAGCGCCTCGCAGGAGCTGTTAGTAGTGATTTGTAGCACTTAACTGATTCTGTAGACCGACAGTCAATCTTGGGGGGAAAGGGGGTTCAGAGGCAATGATAGTTAAGGAACTGCTCCGTAAAACAGCAAATAAGCCATTGCTCTTGCACCCGAGTAGAAATGGAAACTGTACTTAGCAGGCTCTGGAGACCAAATTAGATAGGAAATGAAAATAAATTCCATGTTTTTTATTTTTAACTCAGTGCGCACCTCCAAAACATTCGTACAGTGTGGGCTCCATGACGTGTTTTGCCTGCTCTCTTATACAGATTTAAGTTTTTAAATGGTAGTTAGAGACACTCAACATAAAAGCTGCTGCTTTAACCGTTGTTGTTATTGCTTTGTTTTTTTGAGATGGAATCTCGCTCTTGTTGCCTGCACTGGAGTGCAGTGGTGTGATCTCAGCTCACTGCAACCTCCACCCCCCAGGTTCAAGCAATTCTCCTGGCTCAGGCTCCCGGGTAGCTGGGATTACAGGCGTGCGCCATCACACCCAGCTAGTTTTGTATTTTTAGTAGAGACGGGGTTTCACTATGTTGGCCAGATTGGTCTCGAACTCCTGACCTCAGGTGATCCACCCGCCTCGGCCTCCCAAAGTGCCGGGATTACAGTCGTGAGCCACTGTGCCCAACCCACTTTAACCATTTTTAAATATGCATTTCAGTGGCATTAAGTACATTCACCATAGATGTACTATTTATTATAGGCACAGTTTCCTAAACTGAGTAAAGAAAGGAAACATTTACCCCCACAGCCCAGTATAGTCATTGTTAAAATTAAGATGTTAGTCTCCAAGTCTTTTGTTTACATGATTTTGTTCAAACCTAGTTGCAATACTTTTCATAGAGGTTATAAAGAGAAATATAGAGTTATAAAGGAATTTTTTTAAAATTATACTTTAAGTTTTAGGGTAGATGTGCACAACTTGCAGGTTTGTTACATATGTATACATGTGCCATGTTGTTGTACTGCACCCATTAAATCGTCATTTACATTAGGTATATCTCCTAATGCTATCCCTCCCCCTTCCCCCCACCCCACAACAGGCCCTGGGGTGTGGTGTTCCCCTTCCTGTGCCCAAGTGTTCTCATTGTTCAATTCCCACCTATGAGTGAGAACATGCGGTGTTTGGTTTTTTGTCCTTGCGATAGTTTGCTGAGAATGATGGTTTCCAGCTTCATCCATGTCCCTACAAAGGACATGAACTCATCATTTTTTATGGCTGCATAGTATTCCCTGGTGTGTATGTGCCACATTTTCTTAATGCAGTTTATCATTGTTGGACATTTGGGTTGGTTCCAAGTCTTTGCTATTGTGAATAGTGCCGCAATAAACATACGTGTGCATGTGTCTTTATAGCAGCATGATTTATACTCCTTTTGGTATATACCCAGTAATGGGATGGCTGGGTCAAATGGTATTTCTAGTTCTAGATCCCTGAGGAATCGCCACACTGACTTCCACAATGGTTGAACTAGTTTACAGTCCCACAAACAGTGTAAAAATGTTCCTATGTCTCCACATCCTCTCCAGCACCTGTTGTTTCCTGACTTTTTAATGATTGCCATTCTAACTGGTGTGAGATGGTATGTCATTGTGGTTTTGATTTGCATTTCTCTGATGGCCAGTGATGATGAGCATTTTTTGTCTTTTGGCTGCATAAATGTCTTCTTTTGAGAAGTGTCTATTCATATCCTTCGCCCACTTTTTGATGGGGTTGTTTGTTTTTTTCTTGTAAATTTGTTTGAGTTCTTTGTAGATTCTGGATATTAGCCCTTTGTCCGATGAGTAGATTGCAAAAATTTTCTCCCATTCTGTAGGTTGCCTGTTCACTCCGATGGTAGTTTCTTTGGCTGTGCAGAAGCTCTTTAGTTTAATTAGATCCCATTTGACAATTTTGGCTTTTGTTGCCATTGCTTTTGGTGTTTTAGACATGAAGTCGTTGCCCATGCCTATGTCCTGAATGGTATTGCCTAGGTTTTCTTCTAGGGTTTTTATGGTTTTAGGTCTAACATTTAAGTCTTTAATCCATCTTGAATTAATTTTTGTATAAGGTGTAAGGAAGGGGTTCAGTTTCGGCTTTCTACATATGGCTAGCCAGTTTTCCCAGCACCATTTATTAAATAGGGAATCCTTTCCCCATTTCTTGTTTTTGTCAGGTTTGTCAAAGATCGGATAGTTGTAGATGTGTGGCATTATTTCTGAGGGCTCTGTTCTGTTCCATTGGTCTATATCTCTGTTTTGGTACCAGTACCATGCTGTTTTGATTACTGTAGCCTTGTAGTATAGTTTGAAGTCAGGTAGTGTGATGCCTCCAGCTTTGTTCTTTTGGCTTAGGATTGACTTGGCAATGTGGGCTCTTTTTTGGTTCCATATGAACTTTAAAGTAGTTTTTTCCAATTCTGTGAAGAAAGTCATTGGTAGCTTGATGGGGATGGCATTGAATCTATAAATTACCTTGGGCAGTATGGCCATTTTGACGATATTGCTTCTTCCTTTCCATGAGCATGGAATGTTCTTCCATTTGTTTGTATCCTCTTTTATTTCGTTGAGCAGTGGTTTGTAGTTCTCCTTGAAGGGGTTCTTCACATCCCTTGTAAGTTGGATTCCTAGGTATTTTATTCTCTTTGAAGCAGTTGTGAATAGGAGGTCACTCATGATTTGGCTCTCTGTTTGTCTGTTAGTGGTGTATAAGAATGCTTGTGATTTTTGCACATTGATTTTGTATCCTCAGACTTTGCTGACGTTGCTTATCAGCTTAAGGAGATTTGGGCTGAGACAATGGGGTTTTCTAGATATATGATCATGTCATCTGCAAACAGGGACAATTTGACTTCCTCTTTTCCTAATTGAATACTCTTTATTTCCTTCTCCTGCCTGATTGCCCTGGCCAGAACTTCCAACACTATGTTGAATAGGAGTGGTGAGAGAGGGCATCCCTGTCTTGTGTGTAAAGGAATTTAAAGACAGCCTACTCCTTCTCCCCTTCTCTGCCCCGTTTATAGATGAAGAAGTGAATGGCCAAAAGGGTTAATGGCTTGCTTAGCTGGACAGTGGCCATGCTTGTCCCAGAGCATAGGTGCTCCATCGCCTGAGCGCCATTCCCTGGGCTAGTCTGTTGTTAGTTTCAACATGTGTCATAAAAAATTCATTGGTGGTTTATTTTTAGGGTAATCTTCTTTTTTCCTCTGTCTCTTTCTTTGTGTAGTTTCTGTATCTAAACTTTTTTAATGGCATCTTCAAATAGGAACTTGTTTTAAACCAGAACGTCACAACACGTATGCCATTCCTAGGGTTTATCACCCTGATGCCAACATCCCCTCCCAAACCTCGCTTCTGTTCAGATATTACCATACCCAGGAGGTCGCTGCTTTTTGTTTTTTTTTTTTCCATTTGTTTTGCTGGTTCACGGTTCATTCCAGAGTTTAAAGGTGCTAAAACCAAAGTTTAAAGGTGATAGTAATTGTCCCATGTTGGGTTTTTAGCTGGTTTCTTTTTCTTCTTAAGATCTGTTTTCCACTTAGAAATGAGGTGAAAACTCACAGAAGCAAAGCCTAGCAGCTAAAAGCAGCACGTCTGCTTACCACGTTACACCCTCCGGGCTGATCTGCAGCCCAGATCCCCTTTCCATCCTCTACCTAGCTCCTCAATTCCCATCGGTGAGCAGTTTTCACCTCCTCCTGCCCACGTTTGGAGGTCTGTGGGTGGCGGTTAGGAAGCCAAAGGAGGCTGAAGCTGGGGTATATTGTTTGGGTCGGCCATGGCAACCGCGGCAGGAAAAGGAACAGGACTAGTTTTGTGCTGCTCTGTAAATGGCCAGGATTCAGCAGCTATCTCAGGACTTCTGCTTGGCCCCAGACAATCTGATCTCCTGGTAAGGTTATTAAACTTGGCTCTCCTCTTCCACCCTCCTTTGATCATGTTGTCAGGCAGCGAGTAGGAATGGCCGTAAGGGGTCGGCTGGTGGGGGTTGCAGAGCACAGCAAGATATGCACCAGCAGAAACATAAGAACAGGGGCAGAGGCAAATCAGGGACTGTGTTCTTATCTTTTCTGCACCCCAGATGCAGAGAAGTACATCCCCAAGTCCTTGCCAATACTATTCTTCAAGAGTTGAGCACCTTGCTCCAAAGAGCCTGTCCAGATCGCCAGTTTGACCAGCATGGAGGAGAACAAGGAAGGGCCGGTCCTGGAAGACCCCAGGATTTTTTTAATTGGGAAAGCATTATTTGAGTTTTCTCTGCTGCAAAGCACAAACTGCCTACCACATGTGTTTCATAAAAATGTCACTGAAAAGGAGAGTGAGAATACAGAGTAAGCTTCCATGGCTTAATAATAGTTTATTTTGTGACTTGGAATAGCTTTTCTTTTCATTCAGCGGATCATTTTAGGTGTCATTCAGTTTATTTTAAGTAGTGTGTTTCATCCTGAGCGGATTAAGAATTTTATTTTTTAAAACTCTGTACTGTGTTGCTTCCTACTGGGAAATTTACATTAAAAAAATGTTCGTGAGCAAAATCTATTTGGTCAAAAAGAATGGCCCACGATTATCACTGAATTTGGGATGTTTTTCTTCTAAGGGACACAGTTGATTCTTACTCAGAATCATGCGAGTCTGACATTTCATTTGGGGAAGTCTGAGGAAGTTGGTGAGGTCTTACGTTAATAAAAACAAGTGCTTCTTTTTCTTCTTATCACCTTTCAGTGTCTGCTCTGCTGGCTCATGCAGTGTAGGTTGGCTTACCTCTCCCTGGAAGTCACATTGTCCTTCAGAACTCTTTTTACTATGACCCACAAACAGTTTTCAGACCTCACTCTGATGAGTCAAAGGTAAAGCTGTGAATAAACAGATGGTGAAACAACATTTGCAGTTCTCTGACTTCAGTCCTCCCTGAAACCCACTTGGAATCTAGCTCTGAATTCAGCCGGACATGTTTGTTCTTCCCTTTTCCCATCCTCACCTACTCCTAACCTTCAGTGTTCTCTTTACCTTTTATTTTTATTTTTGTCATTTTAGTAGTAAATGACAGGGACATAGTTACTCAATTTGTAAAACATTGAATGGTGAGGTCAAAGATTCTATGACGAGCTTGAGATTTCTAACAGGTTCAGATGGATGACAGCAACATTTTGCTGGCTTAATTTTGGAGCTGTTTTTGTAGGTTTTGAAATGCAGTTTAATAGTGAGTAATAGAGAAGTTTCTTTCTGCCGTGGAGCTACTGAACCCTTGAAAGTAACATGCTGGCACATACAGATGAACTGTAGCCCCACATTTATTCCTTGCTTAGTGGTAAGCTGTACACTGAACAATAGAAAACAAAAGGCTATTTTTCTTTGGAAGAGCAGATACTGATTTCTGGACAAAGTTTATGTTGTACAAGTTAAACATTTTTTATTCTTTTCTGGTTAGATTTTCTGCCTTTTAAAAAATTAGCTTAGTTGAAAAAGCAGGTATTATTAAATACAGTTTATTTTATTGAATTGGACGGACAATCGTAGAATTTTAAAGCTTAAATGGCTTTAATTGAACCTAATGTTCTAATTTTACAGAGGAAACATTTGAGGCTTAGTGCGGTTAAATGACCACTCCTACAACACACAGCCTGTTTGTTTGATGGCTGAGGCTGAAAACCAGACTCCAGACTCCTAATTTAATGCTTTTCCTTCATTGGTCATGTCTTTTTAGCTTCAGTGAAGATCTTTTTTTTTTTTTTTTTTTTAATTTTTGAGGTTATTTAAAAAATACTTTGCCTTGAAAATTTAACATTTCCACTTAATCATTCTCATACTTCAAGAACAGTTTCTCTGTTAACTTTCTGTTTAACTTCTTAAACCATACACTGTGGAAATTATCTGTCTATATGCTGAACAGTCTTTAATGACTGCATGTGTGCCGTAGCTGTTGAGATGTTTTAATCCACTTTAGCAAAAGGTTTATTTGTTTAAGAAAAGTGCAGTGTTGTATTAAGTCTAAGCTTAGAACAATGAAGCATCATCTCCCAGCTACTGGGAGTGAGAATGGGAGGGGCAGGGAGTGGTTGGTACTATGAGCTGCTCTAAAGAAAATTCATTTCAGCTTCCTCACATGTTAATACAATCATATTTCAGTGAAGCCCTTCTTCAGCAACAGTCACTAATGATAGAGTGATGTGTTTAGACTTGAAGGTTCTTTAGGTGCTGTTTAAATGAATAATGAGTGTAGTTAATTCACAATACAGGTGAAAAGTTAACCACAGAGTAGTGGCACTGCTCTTTCTTTCCCCGTCACCTCTGTGCATGATCTCTTGCTGCGCCATTAGAAGGGATGATTAGAATGGGCAAATATTCCCTCCCGGTGCTCCTGGCAATAGGAAAGCACTGTGGGTGAGATATGTCTGCAGAGCAGTGGTATAGTTTCAGGAAGGGACCTCATTCTGCTCTCTGGGGCAAAGCTTCCGGGTGCCTGAGTGGGCCTCTTCCTAGTCGATGGGGCAGCTTGATGGGGTGGCTATTTATTGGTGAAAACAGTATCCATGTCCCATTGGTTATTGGGACTTGATTCCTAATTTGAACTTAGGTGCTGTGAAGAGACTTATGTAACGCTGTTTAATCCATGTTTGGCTTTGTTAGAAGAGTTTAAAATACTCAGAAGGAAGAAATGTTTGGTTCCTTTGAAAAGGCAGACTGTTCATTTAGCTAGGGAGAGCCTCACCAAATGAGTCAATTAAAAACATTTGGGGATTAAGCCCAGTGAGAGTGCTGTTTTTATATGAGACATGAAGAGGGTGGGGGAGGGGCGGGTGGAACTATGGGGAAACAGCATAGGAAAAAAAAGATCTTTAGAAAAGGAAAAAGTTAGCCTTAGCTCTTCAGAGAGCACTGGGTGGGAAAAAGGATTTAAGTGGAAAGAAGAAAAGCCCTAGAGATTTTTGTACCAAAAAAAAAAGAGTGCTGTTAAAAAGATGAATCAACAGCTATATTCTAAATGGCGTCTCCTTAACTGGGATTTGAAGGGAAGAGAAGGCCTGAGTAGAGTCTTAGACAAGTCCAAGGGTAAAAAAGCAAACAGATAGTTGAAGAAGTGGAAATTATAAGTTTGGTGGCAAAAACTTACTTGTAATTAGAATTTTTGTGTCCTTAATACTTGTTGTTATGCTGATATGATAATATGCTAATAATATGCTAAGGAATTTTCCCAATTCATAATCTAAAGCAAAATTAACTAATATATGTTCTGTTATGGAAATTCACCTAAATTGCACCAGCAGGTGTATTCATCCCGCTAATACTAACACTCTGTTACTAGCTCCACTGTGGCGTTTCCACTGTAACGTGGTGGTGTTGGTGCTACTCATTGTGACAGTGTGGTGTCCCAAAGAGTGAGCAAGCCTCGCCAACGCTTCCTTAAAACTCTTACTGATGGAACTACCATGTTTATATAGCAAGAATATTAGAGAAAGAAGAGTCGAGAAAGGATTCCACAACACACATCTAGTCTTTTCCTCTCTTAGCTTTTAGGGTCAACACTACCTTTCTCTTGGAAATGAGAAGGGGAGAAAACCTTTTCCACTATTCTGAAAAGAGGGTTTTAAAAATTCTCTCAGGTCGCCTAAGCTGGAGGGGCTTTATGACAGCACTAACCAGTAGGTCAAAAAGGAAATTTATTTTTTCCCATCATAGGTTCCTCTCTACACAGAGAATGCAAAACCGTAATTCTTAAGAGTTCCTCAATGATTATTCACTTTTGTTCTTACTTCCATATTTCTCTAGTAAAGATTTAAATATTTAATTTTGTAGACTCCTGAAATAACTGCTTCCAGATAGTATATTTACTCAGAATATTATTTAAATGCATTAATGCTGACATTGTTAGAAAGGGGAGAAAACTCAACATTTTCCGGCAGAAATCATTGTAAAATGTATTATAAAATTTCCTCCCTTCCTAAGTAGAGTGCTACTATATAGTGAATATAATTTAACTTTTTTTCTTGGAGACTTATTGTCATTTCTGTGAAGTTATTACCTCGACATAGTAGCGTCCTGATGCCTCAAAAGCTCATAATTCTTCTCGATGCCACAGCCTCTGTCCTATCTACTTGTCTTGGTTGTCATGTCTTCAATCTCCTTTCATATTTGCCTATATCTGTAAACTTAAGAGAAACCAGATAATCAATCTGATAAAATCACTAAGCTGAATCATATACATTAATTCTCATTCCTAGCTCTCTCCACCTAGCCAGTGTGGCCTGAGGCATTCATAGCCATGTTCTGAGTGGTGAAGGCTAAGAGAGCCCAGGAGAGCTGTCCAGGGTTAAATAAGACATTAATATATAAAGTAAGGACTGTCGGTATACGTGATATTTATATGTTATCATATTACATTTTATTTATTTATTTATTCATTTATTTATTTGTATATATAGAGAGAGAAACAGAGTCTCACTCTGTTGCCCAGGCCAGAGGGTAGTGGTGCCATCATAGCTCACTGTAGTGTCGAACTCCTGGGCTCCAGTGATCCTCCCGCCTCAGCCTGCTGAGTAGCTAGGACTACAGACTTGTGCGACCACACTTATTTTTTGTTTTTAATTTATTTTTTGTAAAGACAGGGTCTCATTCCATTGCCCAGGCTGCATTTTTAAGTTTAGTAACTGCCCAAATGGACATTGGGTAAAATAAAAATAAATACAGTCACTTCTCTTCTTAAATCATTCACCTCTCAAGATGAAGGTACTAATAGGACATTTTCTAGAACTTCAGTGTTAACCACAGCAAGGAGGAAAGACAGGCCTGTTAGATGTAGACTAAGAACTTCAGAAGCTGTCTCCGTCCTAGGCTGGGCCCAGGGCTCTAGAATTGTCCCACACACCTGGTGGGCTTGCTTGGGTACTTGGGTGGTACCTGGGAGATGATGACCTGTTCATCTTCAGCTTCTGTTATTCCAGGAAACAGAGGTAGTCATCTGGATACTACAGGTTTGCCAGCTCTGCTACTTCTGCTTCTACTGCAGGAGGAGGAGCTATGGAATTTTTATGCATGCATCAAAACACTGACTTGGCTCATAAGACTGCTTAAAAGACAGAGTGATAAATTACGCCTTGTTTCTCATGAAACAGATTTTTCCCAAAAGTAGAAATACTAATTTATAATGTATCCTTTTCAGAAAGATTGTAAGTCTAAGTTTCTCAGAGAAACAGTGTATGTGATGGCAGGACCCCAGTAAAGTCCAAAATATCCCATAATGGCCTTAGGACCATGCCCATCATAGTCTCCATAGAGCCATGGTCCCCAAGAGCCATGGTGCCCAAGAGCCACCACTTCAGTGGGTGGTAGGTGGTTGTGAAGAATGGTCACTGTGGTTCACAGAATAACAGTGACAATTGTGAATAGAAGCCAGTCATTACCTAACTGATAAAATGAGTGAGGCTAGCAAAGGGCCTGACAGGAAGTGAAATCACTTACTGAAGTGGTGGTAGAGTACGCAACCAAGAACTAAGAACAGGAGGGAAGTTAACCCTAGGGAGAGTTCGACTCCACTTGAGGAGGAACATTCTGGCAATCAGGACTGTCTAAAAATGGAACAAGCTGATTGATTTAGCAGTGAAACCTCTGTCACTGGAGATGTTCAAACAGAGGTAGTAGGACCCTCTTATCAGGAATTCTCCAGAGAGGAGATGTGAGTTGGATAGAAGGTTATTGTAGACGACCACTTGTTTCTCTCTCAGCTCTGAAATGTAGTCCTTAAGGCTGACGTGTGTTTCCCAGTTTCTAATCGGAAAAGATAACATAATCTACAGTGTTGAAATAATTTAAACAAAGTAAATAACTGTGCTTTTACAACCATAATACGGTTTAGCCTTTCATTATTTTGTTACGTTCCTCATTAACATAGACATAATTTCTTTTAAAGAAGGGACAATTGTGACGAGCCTGGGCAACATGGTGAAACCCCACCTCCACTAAAATACAAAAAATTAGCTGGGCGTGGTGGCACACACCTGTAATCCCAGCTACTTGGGAGGCTGAGGCAGGAGAGTTGCTAGAACCAGGAGGCGGCGGAGCTTGCAGTGAGCCAAGATCACACCACTGCACTCCAGCCTGGCGACAGAGCGAGACTCCGTCTCTTAAAAAAAAAAAAAAAAGAAAAAAAAAAAAGAAGTGACAAAACTTACCCAGTAAACTAAATGTTAATTTCCTCTTCTCAGGAGCATAATACTAACTTACTCCTCTGTTTTTATATTTTTGAGTACTGATAATCGGATAGTGATATATTTGTGTTATTTTTTGTTCAAACAATTGAATTCATTCTTAGCAAGAACAAAAGTCTATTTGAAACATGTAGGCATCTTAGGTAGATTAAATTTTTCATTGTTTCAAGTTTTGACTTTTGTATTTCTGCACATTAGTGATCCTTGAAGATTAGGCAAGGCCAAGTTCTTTTGACTTTTATAATTAGTGTGTCGGAATCCCAGTTTTTCCTACCCTAGGGTGGACTGTATTTTTTACAATTAACTCTGTGAAGGGTGACTGGGGGTGGACTGGTGAGGAGAGGCTTCCAGTTACCAGAGAGCCTGTGACTTACTCTCTGTGCTTTTCCTAGGTCACCAATTTTCAAAGAATTTGAGTATAATTAAATACACTTCATAATAAACTAGGCTGAACATAATTTAATCTTTCCCTGAAGGTACTTCAGAGTCTTGGAGTGCTTTAGGGCCATGATGAGCATCAATTATGTTCTCACGGTGGGTGTGCAGAAGGAGGTAGTTAATAGAGTTCTGTTTGATCAAGTCCTGGGTGACTGGACATGTGTTCTGTTATGATTAGCAGTTCAGTGTCCAGGTTTTGGAACTGATGCTTAGTATTAAATTCTCAGGCAGGAGAGAATGGAATAGAGATTGACCTCTTTGGCTTTGAGAGGCTGAAAGTTGATGACGATAATTCACATGTACATGGTATATATAGCACTTTTTAGCTTCCAAAGCCCTTTCACATACCTTGTCTTCCATTGCTTGTTTCTTGTGATGTTCTGGAAAGGAAGCAAGGCCGCTGGTATCCCATTTTTACAGATGAGGACAGTGGAGCTCAGGAAGCTTGAGGGACTTGCCTAAGCTCATACAGTAGATCAATGGCGGAGACCACTGGACTTCAAATTCAGTGCTCTTTTTAGTATTTCAAAGGATACTAAACATTTGCTCACATCTCTGATGTTCTTTGTGCTGTATGTGTAGTAACTCATTTAATCCTCACAGTGGCCCTGTTAGTAGGTAGATATCAGTTCTTCTGGTACTATTACGATTCTCATCTTCAGAGCTGAGGCCACTGAGAGGCACAGAGAAGTTAGGGCATGCACTAGTGAGTGGCGGAGCTGAAATCTGAACTTAGAGCTTTGGCTCCAGAGCCCATGCACTCCACCATTATGCTACATGGCTACTCAGTGTACAGATACACTGAGCTTAAGTAGAGGAGAAAGCTTATCTATCCATATCTTCCCATCTGCAAAGACCTCTGCCTGTATGGGAGGTCTGGGCTCGTTCTGACTAAGGTTTTGAACCCAGATCTGCCAATTTGAGATCTTGGGCCCATTACTTAGCCTGAGCTTCAGTTTCCACATCTCTAAAGTGAAAATATAGAACATGGAATGTACCTGTAAGAACACAATGGAATACAGGTAAAGTGCCCAGCACACTGCTTATTCCTTAGCCTTCATGTTTTAGAAAGTGGTTGCTATTGTTTTTGTTGTTGGTGGTGGCGGTAGTGGTCTTCTTCTTATTATTATTTATATATTTACAATGGCCAAAATTATATGAAATGTTTTCCAAAAATTAGGTATTTGTACCCTTCATATGAATGTGTGTGTTAATTGGGTATAATTGTCTTTCTTGAGTCTTTAAAATAGACAAATCTTTTGATTACATTTGTTAATATTATTGTACCTACCTATATCTGACTTGACTTACAATTTTACTTCATTAAATACATAGCAAGTCATCTGAGAACCCAAAGTAATCATACAGATTACTTGCCATATAGTTAATTTGTGACTGTGATATGGCTGCTAAGGTAGAGGTTTGAATTTAAAAGCACAAAGAAAAATGTTTACTTCAATGGTTACAAATAGATTAATCATATAAAGTACATATTTGCAGAGTCTCGCTCAGTCGCCCAGGCTGGAGTGCAGTGGCATGATCTCGGCTCACTGCAACCTCCGCCTCCCAGGTTCAAGCAATTCTACTGTCTCAGCCTCCTGAGTAGCTGGGACTACAGGTGCGTGCCACCACGCCCGGTGTATTTTTAGTAGAGATGAGGTTTCACCATATTGGCCAGGCTGGTCTCGAACTCCTGATGTCAGGTGATCTGCCCGCCTCGGCCTCCCAAAGTGCTGGGATTACAGGCTTGAGCCACCACACCCGGCCTATTCTAAGGCTTGTTCTAAGGCTCACAGATGGCACCTTCTCTGTGTATCCTCACATGGTGGAAGAGGCAAAGCAGTTCCTGGGGGAGTTCTTTGATAAAGGTGCTAATTCCATTCAAGAGGGCACCTCCCAAGGGCTCCACTCCCTAATACTATCACGTGGGGAGTTAGGATTCGACATGTGAATTTTGGAGGCACACAGACATTCAGGCCAAGGCATAAACAGTGACCACTTTTGTTCTGTCTGTCCACACACTGCCTAGAGCTTCCATTTATTTCAACTACATTTGCTTTTTTCTTATTTATCTGTTCAGAGTATCTTCTCAGTGGCTATTTATTTACCACCCTTTAACATGTTTTCTTGACATTGTACTTCAGCCTGTATATGCTTTGCAACTCAGGAACTATGCTGGCTTAACTAATAGTACCTACTTAACAGGTGAAACTGACAGTAACAGCTTAATAGGTGCTTTCCATTTTTAACATACCTCAGCTTTTTATAAATACAAAAAACTCTCAATCTTTTAATGTGGTTTTAAATTTTAAACAGGTCTTCTTTCATTTTCCTTTACAGAAAACTGTAATACTGCATATGCATTTTCAAACTATGCATATTTCTTCTTCATTCCATGTGGAAGTTTTTATTCAGCCTTTCAGTAAATTTTACTTAGCTTGTCCCATGGATGCCGTAGGTGTAAGGAATATGATAGTGAACAAGACAGACAGAGCTCCTCCCCTCAGGGAGCTTTGCCATGATACACGATGATGACAATGATAAAAGGAGCAAATAATGATTTGGGACCTGATTCCAAAGGGATATTTCTGCGACACTTACAATGAAATTCCAACCTGGCACCATCTTTTTCACTGCAGAATGCATGAAGGTGGTTGCATCATGTCATTTCGACATGCATTTAAATGTAATGAAAGGCACAAGTAGTGATTGCAAACACTACAATAAGTTGCTTGTTGACTCTCTTACTGTCTTCCTTCTTATCTCCCTTTCTTCCTTTGTCTCATTCTCAGTTTTCAGAGCTTAGTCATTATTTCGTAATCCTCTCCTAAAATGAAATCTGGGGCTCTAAGGACAGGAGGCACAGGTTGTGTTTGAACAGCATCATCGTGCTTTATGAAGGGGATTGGAGGGGAGATTCTGCCCCACAGTATGGTCAGGTCTCGCTCCAGGCAGCACTGACTACATTGGTGCTGGTTGGGTAACTGTGGCTCGGCAGGTCACTCTCCCTCTTTCCACCTCCGTTTTCTCATTATTAGTAGAAGTCGAAATAGCATGGTTTTCTAAGGCCTCTGCCAATCTACAATTCTGTGATTCATATGTTCCTAAACACTTGAGTTACTTTTTCTCAATAAATGGAAATATATTTTCCAATGAGGCTGGAAATACATTTTCCAATTATCCTCTCCCCTGGTTTATAACATATCATCAATGTGTTGGGACTTCTAACACTGCTTCTGCTGTAAGCCCATCAAGAGGTTAATTACCTTTGAAGAATGAGGAACTGCTGGAAAAGAACTGTAAAACCTTCAAGAGAACTTTGGAGTTAATCCCTCTGGTAATAGGAATCAATGTCACTCACACATCTAGTTGCCAGTGGAGGAGGAATAACAGCACTGGGCCAAGTAGACTTGAAGGAAGGCAGGTTGCTGATAGAGTGGAGAGCTGAAGATTCTGAATCAAGCTCATCATGACTCTCTTCCTCCTCTTTGAGGCTACCCAATCAGAGCAAAAACAGTATTTTAAAAAACCTCAACTGGATGAGCCTGATGCAGTGGTGTGCTCATGCAGTCCCAGCCAAAGGGTCACTTGAGCAGAGGAGTTCAAGGCCAACTTGGGCAACATAGTGAGACCCCGTCTCTAAGACAAATAATAAACATCAAAATTAAAATTAAAAAAAACCCAACCCAGTGTTCCCTTCAGAATCCTGAGTGGTTTGTTTCATCTTCCTCTATTCTGGCTTGTGTCATCTTCCTCTCTTGTAATGGATAAAAACTCCAAATGAAGACAAAAATGAGGAATTTGTCAAAAAAATTGAATTGCCAACAAAAGCCATCTTTGGTTGATCAAACGGTACAGACGTTTCAGTTAGACAAGAGGGCTAAGTTTCTGAGACCCATTGTACAGGATTATTAATATTATTCATTTTTAGCCCTCATAATAAGGTATTATAAATGTCAAGATTGCTAAAAGAATACGTTTTTAAATGTCTTCATTATAAAAAATAAGTATGTGAGGTGATGGACATATTAATCAGCTTAATATAATCATTTTATAGTATATGTAGCTATATCAAAACATCACATTATAACCCATAACTACATGCAATTATTATTTGTCAATTAAAAATACAAATCTAGGCCAAGGTGGGAGGATCCCTTGAGCCCAGGAGTTTGACAGCAGCTTGGGCAACATAGGGAGACTCCATCTCTACAAAAAAAAAAAAAAGAAAAAAAAAAGAAAAAAAAAGGAAGGAAAAAAAAGAAAAAATTGACTGGGTGTGGTGGCTCTTGCCTGTAGTCTCAGCTGCTCGGGAGCTGAGGTGGGAGGATCCCATGGGCCCAGGAGTTTGTGGCTGTAGTGAGCTATGATCATGCCACTGCGCTCTAGCCTGAGCAAGAGAGTGATACCCTGTCTCAAAAGTAAAAACTTACAACAATATAAAAAATAAAAATTTAAATTATAAAAAGCCATCTTCTTTCCCACTCCTTCCCATTTTGATACAACAGTCCCAGACCCCAGACTTGCTTTCCTCATGAGTCATGCAGACTCAAGTATTGCAGTTCCAAAACACTGCCTGACTCACCAGCTCCATCCAAAAGAGTATGTATTGTCTTCATATGCCAGATAGGAAATTCCTGCTGCATATAGGAAAAGCAGTGTGTTTAAATACATGGACACACACACACATACACACACACAGAGTACACATATACACATCTGCATATACACGTACACATATGCGCACATATTCATACTATATATGTACATACACATGCAATACACATGTATACACACCACACACACACATACACACACATGCATCTCCAAGTCTATTTCCATGCTTTTTTTCAGTAAAGCACCTAGACAAAGGAGAGAGATGTCTAATCAGGTTTTGGTGGTTGTCAGGGATATCATAAATGAGAATCTCAAGTTACTAAACTTGATTTCACAAAATAGTTTATTGGTAGTTTTAGAATGGCATTGCATTTTAGGCAGCCCCAATTGTAAATAAGTGAGCCGGGTAAAAGCAGATTGGATGTCACCCAGAATATTTTCTGGAAAGGGGACATACACAAAATTCTCTCTTTGCACAATTACCCTGTTTTGGGTTTGCAATATTATGTTGAGCAAGGCTGGCTATTTTCCACCAACAGGATGTTACAGCTTGTCAAAAGTTATTCAACCTATAGTGTTAAGCAGGTACTTCATCATTACTGAATTTGGTTGATGCTCTATGGAGAAAGCCAAAGTTAGGAGTTTTGTCTGTCATTGAGGTAGAGACCCTCAACTAGGGAAGCTTTGAACTGTTCATCCAGCTGGTATTCTGTACCACCTTGCCTCTGGAGTTGAGCTTAGAACCCTACTTCCATTTTTTCTGTCACTTCAGGGCTGTTTCAACTATTGTTTCTTCATTTACTTATATCAAGTGTGTTTTCTCAATTCATAAGCATGGGAGACCCCAAGAGACAGATATCGCATTAGTCCTTTTTTGTTTGTTTAGCAGGAAGGTTTTTAAGTAAAGCTCCTAAATGATATGTCTCATTCTCATGGAAATTCATCAATATTGTTTTACTGTCTCCTATCTGGTTACTTTTTATTTTAGGTAACCACTGTGATACAATATACACAAGTCCCTGGATCATGAAAATAAATTGAAGAGCTAATGTTAATAGTAAGTTCTCAACCAGGGGTTATGCTGGAACCCAGGATACATAACCCACAGGAGGGCCCTCCGTGAACTCAGTTTTCATGGAATTGTCCCATACCTTCACAGGTAGAAGCATGGCTATGTTAAAAGTGGCCAATGAAAGTATAGTTTCTTTATGCCTTATACTTTGTTTGGTGAGGATTTCTGCCAGAGGTGTTTGTTTCCTTTAGTTTTCTGGTTGCTATGATTTTATACAGCTTTGGTGACCTCTATGAGTACCAGATAAAGTTAGGTATGATAAAGGCACAAAAAGACCGTAGAAGCCATTTGTATTCTAAATATAAATATACAGACTAAATTTGTATGCATTTGTGTCTTCATTCTTCACGGTGCTGTATCCTCCGTGTGTGTGTGTGTGTGTGTGTGTGTGTGTGTGTGTGTATTTCTTCTTTGATTCCAGGCTGCTTATACGAAAATGCTGATTCATAGTGTCACTGTCTTTTCTTTTTCCTGCGAAATTCTAAATCCGTTTCTAAACTTTTTCTACAACTCTGAGTTTAATCTCTCTAAAGTTTTTTTTTTTCCCTCTTGCGGACACAAGGCACTTTGCTTTGTTTATGCTAATAAATGTCAGACTAGCCCCCAAAAATTAGAAGAAATGCCAGTAATTTCAAAGGGCTCTTGAGCATGATTTTTTTTCCTGTTTCTTAATACATTGTACTTTTCAGAGTTTAAGTTTAGGTGCATGTAGGTGGTATTAGAAGATTCTTAGATTTTATTGGTAGCATCCAGACAATCTTGTCATCACCCGATATATATCACCTCTATGTGGTAGACCCTTGTGGAAATTTTCTCATCACGAAAGTCGAAAGTTTAATTTTGGAGAGGAAGAGGTTTTTCAGATACATTAAATAGGTTTTGCTACAATAAGGTGAGATGGTACTTTCAATTGAGCATTTCTCATATACTAGCAAGCAGACAGCTTGGCCTCCTGGTTGTAATTACATGCCAATGGCTTGGTGCTTTTTATTTTAGAAGTTGAGTTCATCCTGAATTCTCTGAGCATATGGAGTAGTGCACTCTGATTGTTCCCATTAAGATTGTAATTCCATCCAAGGCTTATAGTGTCATTGTAAACACTAGATGGAATTACAGCCCCATGCACATTTTGGAAGACTGCATTATTCATTGAAATACTTTATAAAGTTAAATAATTTTGTAAATATGCTCCAAGTTCATGGGACTTAGATAGAAACATAATCCTGGCCACAAAGGAGGTTCTCAGTAAATATTTCTTGTTTATTTGATGGACTTTCCTTATATCTTTAAATAAACTGTATTTTTAAAAAGTGTAGAGAGGTTATACTTAAATATTTGTAGGACTTTAAAAGATCTTGCCTTGAAATGCTCTTACGGTTTCTTGCTTTTCATTGATGGAAAAATTGACTTCCCATATGAATATGTTATTTAATCTTTTCTGTTTCTAGCCTAGAGAGAAATACTGAGTAGCTCGAGTGGTCAAGAATCTTTATTTTAGGGACATCCGCATGTCCTAAGTAATTCCCTTCTATATAAATATCTCTTTTCGGCATAATGTGTTGCATGCCTTCAAGGTGGACCACTATGAGGTGAATAATTACACAACGGGAAGCCTGGCTGTCTCGTGGAATATTGGATGGATGGCTTTCTTATTGGTCTTAATTAGGACAGTGTTGTTAAGATAATTCACTAATTCACAGTGCGTTATCAGATTTGAAATGACCTCTTTTTTTTATACTACTTCGGAAGTGTATGTATACCTTTTAGGAAAGACCTGGAAGGATAAGTTGTATATTTTAGTATCTGATATGGTTTTAAAATTTAAGACTCTGTGTTATGTATGTTTTGGGATGACTATAAATAATCTGTGTAACAAGGTATTACCAAAAACCTTATTGCCTTTGCCACCATGCACTGCAAAATATAGTATCAGGAAGCGAAAAGACAATGCATTTTGAGTAATTTTTAGAATTTGCATTTTTGTGAATTGACATGTATGTATGGAGGACTTTTCAAAAAAAACAGAACTTTTCATTAAGAATATTCGGTATTAAGATATTGTTTTAAATGTCAGATATTTTTAAAATATATGAAACCATATTAATCACGTATTACTTATACTTTTTGTCCCTGGAAATATTCCATTTTTAAGAACAGAGATAACAAATAAATATACCAGTAAAGCTAAAGTCAGTGCTTTCTGCTCTTAAAATAATTTATTGAACGATAAAATGAATGTCTTTGCTTTGTGAAATTATATTTTTGTTTAGGACTTGATAATGCTTAGAGAACATTTTAGTTTTTACAGTTTAAAGAATGAATAATGACTGGTTCCTCTGCTCCCTGATTTGTTTCCATGTAGATAGTACTTCATTTTTATTACCTGTAAACATGTGTTAGCTTTATCAATTAGGCTCAATTGAATGAAGCATAACCCCCTGAAAGGCCTTGCCAGTAAAATAATAATAGTAATAATAATATTCTTTTCTTCAGATTCTAGCAGGGAGTACTGCTGGCTTTTATGTAAGAAGTCAACTTTAAAAGTGTTTTTGTGTGCGTGTGGTGTGGGTGCAGCAGCAATATTGTGTATTCCTTTCAAATCAAGATGCCTCATAGTCTGTGGGCGGGGGAACTCCCTAAGATGCCCTCACTAGTTACTCATTCATTTGTTCCTCCCCAGAAAGGGAAAACCCAATGCTCCACACTCCACTTATTCTGAATAATGGGGGCGGGGAGGTGGTGGCGTGAGGATGTCAGTGTCATTGGGCAAAAGCCTTCATTTTTAAAGTTTAGCAAAATGCAGTTTTATTGCTTTATGATCAGTGTGTATTACAAGCTAATATACAAATGGCATTAGTGATCAAAGTGGGATACTGATGTGGCAAAAATTTACAATACACTTAACAGATTGACCTGACATAACAGTGAAAGCATTTGAATTCCTTCCCACATAGTAAGTAACAAGTAATTTCTGGAGCCAGAAGTGGGAGGGTGTGTGTGTATGTGTGTGTGCATGTACGTATGTGTGTGTGTGTGTGTTGTCTGTAGAAGTTAACAAATATGTTAGTTCATTGACCATTTCTTTCGTTGTCCTAAAGAAAATTTCACTCACTTGTGCTTCTGATTTGTTTCCCGTGAAGTCTCTTATCACTCTTAGAACATGAAGGCGAATTAATGAAGAATCCTTAATTCTTCAAAAAAAAAAAACCAGCCCTAATTTAAGAAAGGAGACATTTAACTTGCTAATAAGATCCTAAAATTTTATAGGTTATATAATACATTCAAGGAAATTGAATTATATATTCATTAAGAATACATTATCTCTATTAGCAGAGAGTAAATGATTGAGGTTTTACTGAACGCTAAATGCTCAGAAAGTAAATGCAAAGACCATCACTGGTTGAGCACGCTGGGAACTGGGTGGAAGTCTTAGGCCTGTCATTAACTGTTGTGCGGCCTTTGGCAAATAACCGAAGTTCTCTGAGCCTTAGGAAAATGAGGAAGTTGGGTTATATAAGTGGTTTTCAAATGTGGCTTCAGAAAACCCTGGAGAGCCACTGCACTCCAGCCTGGGCGACAGAGTGAGACAGGCCTCTGTGGAATTAGCCAAGGGTTTGGGTAAGGGGTGGGGCTGAGACCTGAGAATCTTTATGTTACAACAGCTATTAGGCAATGTCAGTTCACAGGACCACTAAATCAAACAATCCTTCAGACCACTTCCGACTCTCAAGTTTCAATAAGTCCCTAGAAAACATCATCCTTGGTCCACAGGAAGCAATCCAATAAGGAACTTGGTCTCCCATAAAGAATCCAATAAAGAAAACTTTAAAATGAGAGGAGGGTTATGGATTTGATCATCTCCAAGGACCCCTGTCAAGCAAGTCTAAGATCTTTCCAAAGGAGATCTGAGAAATATGTCTGTATCCCAAGAAGGTTTGACAATAGTCCCTGAAGTTTGGGGGATGACTTCTAGATATCCCTGTGCCTTCAAGCGTGATCATGGGCTGGATTTGTTGGCCCCATGGTCTGCCTCTGAGTCACAGACAAATGATGAAAAAAAGAACAATTTTCTGTCAGCATGCCAGACCAAGGGAGGGGCCAGGAGAAGAACCGTGAACCATGAACTGTGCCACTGCTGGAGGCACTGACAGCTCCTTGGCACCAGATGTGTGACCTCAACCCCTGCAGCTTGGGCACAGATAATATCTCAGGGCAGGGGATGAGGAATAGAGGAAGAAGGGAAAGTTGCAGGGATCCTGGAGTGTTAATACCCATGGTGGCGGCAGAGCAATTTGCCAGGAAGAAAACTCTCTGGTTAACCCTCCGGCACTAGTTGCCAAGCATGTTTGTACTAGAATGGAGTTCAAAGTTACAAACAGAGCACTGTCTGTTTTTAAGGACTCATATGAAAGGTTTGCTTGTCCTAAGCCTGAATCCAAGAGTCTGTCTGTCATAAACACTTTCAGGTAGCCCAAAAATCCCTTCAATGTGATCTCCAGAATAGGGGAAGACAAAGGACTCAGGTCTTCAGCTGTCTGATGAGGAGTGAGAAATTTTTCTAATGAACATCTCTGGCTTATGGATATTAAGGAGAGTTCAGTGTCAAAAGTTTCTGCAGCGTAGTTAACAGAGGTGGAAAGTTGAAATAACCTTAAAGGCACTGAAGCTGAGAAACTGCCCTCTTTATCCTAACAGCCACAGTTAGTTTTGGAACACTGTCCATGGAGAAGCTCAGGGCTGTCAATTTAGAAAGCAGCTGTGTGCTGGCCCATTGGGCACCATCTTTCTCTCATAGGTTGTTCTAGTCCAAGGTGAAGAAAGCTACATTTTGCTCTAAGCTAGACTGACATATGGACTTCTAGATTTGAACCCTAAACACAGGAGGAAGTGATTGATTGTATTACAAAAAGAATCTTCTTTGGTAAATAACTATTTTTTTTTTTAATGGCCAGATGGGAGAAAGCAAAAGATGCCTTTTCGTGGTGTTTTGGAAACCTAGATCTCATCAACTCCCTGGTTGGTTTTGGCGGTCAAGGCTTTTTATGCCAGAGCAACTGTGAGCCAGGTTTCTGAGGTTCTTCCTGACCCATGTTGGTAGCCTCTTAAAAATAACTGTCATTCCAAGTTCAGCTAAAATATATAACTCAACAAATAAATACATATAAAGCATATGAATAGAAGCGGGAAAGTGAGGATTAACAGACTGGAGAGTAAGAGTCTTGCCATGTAAAATACTATAAAACACTCTTAGGAAGTCTCTTGCTTATGTTATTACTTGTACAGTAAATGTGGAGACCTGGATCTCTTCCTCATGGTCCCTTATTTCTTGTTTTCCTGCTGGGAGGTTTCAAGTAGCTGATCCCTTGCACATGTACTTTAAAACTTCAATTATATTTGTCACTGGCTTATCATGGGCAATGTATGTGAATGTGACTAAGGGTCCTGATAAATTAAATGCCACTTTTACATGTTCCTTTCTTTTTCTTCTATTAGTGTTCTTTAGGACTTTGAATGGGAAATCCTCAAACATGTAAGTCTATGTGGCTTCAGAAAACCCCAGAGAGGCCAGGCGCGGTGGCTCACACCTGTAATCCCAGCACTTTGGGAGGCCGAGGCGGACAGATCACCTGAGGTCAGGAGTTCGAGACAAGCCTGGCCATCATGGTGAAACTGCATCTTTACTAAAAATACAAAAATTAGCTGGGTGTGGTGGTGCACACCTGTAATCCCAGCTACTTGGGAGGCTGAGGCACGAGAATCACTTGAACCTGGGAGGTGGAGGTTGCAGTGAGCTGAGATTGCATCACTGCACTCCAGCCTGGGTGACAGAGTGAGACTCCATCTCAAAAAAAAAAAGTTCTCCCCAGTGGCCTCTACTGAATTATCCAAGTGCTTGGGTAGGGGGTGATGCTGAGGCCTGGGAATCTTTAATAAGAAAGAAGAAGGGAAATTCCTTATGTTGGACCCAACATTGAGTGTGTTCAGATACAGATGTTGGCAGGTATGGGGGCATTCGGAAGGAGAACAGCGGCTAACCAAGCTAACTGAGACTGAGTTCAAGATTCGCTTCTGGTTCAGGGGGACTTTCGTTTTCAGGCTCTAATACATTCAGAAGAGCAAATATTGGTACTTTAATCATGCATCTTTTCCCCCTCAAGTTCTGTATCTGCCACGTGTATATTTTATTTGGCATTTAAATGCACAGTTCTTATAATTGCTGATAAATAGTCTCCATTGCACATTTTGCTGGCACTGTGGCCTCACTGTAAATGCTCTCTGTATGTTCTTGGGAAGTTGCATAATGGCAGTTACTCTAGTTTACTGTGCAATATGCTCAGTGACTAATGGCCTAATCATGACTTGAAAAATATATAAACAGTTCAACAGAAGCAGTTGATTCACTGAGCTCTTTCATCCAGACAAGGGTGAGCTAATGGGAATAAAAAAGACGGAGGTGTGCAGCAGCGTCTTTGATGTATTGAAGTTAGAGCATTCCCACAAATCCCATGCATTATTGCTCATTGATGGCGGATCCTTTTTCATATGCATGAGGCAGGAGTGCCAAATTATCGTCCTAATTGGCTCTGACTTGGTATTCCTTAATGTTCGTGTTACACTTGTTACAACTTTTTTCCTTTCCTCTAAATACTACTGACAGTAACAGCTTTGGAGAGGCAGGCTGTCACGTGGCCCCATGGCGTCACCCTACACTGCAGGCTTAAGTGTGGCTCTGGTCCTGTGCTCTGGTTTCTTGGGATAGAATTACAGCTGAGACTGTGCAGTGCGGACCTGCCTGGTTTACTTCAGGGGCATTGTTGATTGACACAGATTCTTGTTCCCTTGTCCTCAGTGGCACCTTTTCTTCCAAGAGGAACAGAGATAGAGTCTTACAACAGCCATTAAATAGAAGATCCTGGGGTCTACTGGAGCACTGTCCCATTGGTGGGGAGAAATAACAATCATCATCATCATGTCTCCCTTCCTTTGGAATTGATTAGGTAGCTCCTATATTCCACATTCCTCTCACCTGTTGACCACACACAATTTTTGGTCTTGTAGCTTGGCCACTCATTTTAGCTCAATCACTGGTTTAATTTTTTTAATGAAATCACTCAATCGATAGAGGCTAACCTCTCGTAGATGTAATAATTCCAACCATTCTCAAAGAAATAATGAAGGGTGGAATATTATGCTTTCTAAAATAATGGAATTTATTTTTTCTTTATGCCCACAGCTGTTTAGTCCTAAAGAGGGGGAAGAAAGAATCTTTCGATCTTTTGGCATGTTCCATGTCCCGTATTGATGGTCATACTTCAGCTTTTTTCTGGTTGTTTAAGAATTATGTGGCCAATAGGCTGCCTTGTATATAACAGTGAAAAACACCCATTACTTGTATTTGTTTCATTTTAAGGTTTAGGCAGTTGGAGCATAGGACAGTAACTGGTTTCCCTTGTTTTCTGGAACCTGCCCCTTGCTCTCTCTTGGGTGATGCCTCACCCCTGCCCCAGTGTCAGAGCTGCCCTGGGTCCTTCTTCCCTTGAAGGGTCTGATGAATGAACCACACAGCTTGTTAGTATCTCAGTTTGTTAATCCTCCCGGAGGAATGTATGTTTCAAAAAAGAAGCTGAAAAGTATAATGGATGAGAATTTGCTTTGGAACTCAGCACACTGTAGATTAGAGAAGGAAAAGAAAGAAAAGGAAGGAACAGAAGGACATGTTTGGGGGGTAGGGGGCCTTTCTGGGGCTTCTGAAAGCAAATGTTGTGATAATTAGTTACAGTGTCCCAAAGATGCCTGGGTCTACCCCTGACCCTCTACACAGGCCAATTCTGCTCCCACCAGAAAAAAACAAGAGTACAGAGCAAAGAGGCAGGGCAGCAGCCTCTGATACCTATTTGAACTTTACACATTCTGATAGAATTTATTATCTGTATTGAATATGGGAGACTGTGGGTAAAAGACTTCAAGACAGTGAAAAACTAGGAAAGAAAAATAAAGGTGTATTGGGCCTTGGCAAATTTTTGACACTTACTTGACTATGTGCTTTAACTTTTTGAAAAGGCAGATAATATAGCAATCACATTAAATATTTATCTTTAAAAGAAATTATTTTAAAAATTACTCTTAATATTACCACATTATGAACTCAATAGGAGATCCTACAGTTCCTTTAACTTTAACAACAGTACATTTGTTAATATTCATTAAAGTTAAAGAAGCTTACTATTACAACAGAATGAAGTAATACTTGCTGGAAAACACCAATATTTTACTTATCTTTATCTAATCCCCCCGTTTAACTGTAGTGATACAATACTTAATTTTAAAAGAGGAATGGTTTGAATGTACAGACTTTTACATGTGTTCTTCCATTGAGTTCTTTCTTGTAGTCTAACCCAATAGTTATCACACTTCAGTGTACATGAAAAGTGCAGTAAAGGATTGTGCAGTATACATAAAATCCTGTGTGGAGTGTCTTGTGGGAAAGCCAAAGGATTTTCAAAGTTAATTTTGACTATATATGACTTTTGCTTAACTTTTGAACTTAACCGCCCACATAAAAACTCACTCCACTATATTTCCCTTCTCTTTGCCTCCCTACTTCTGTCCCCCCTTTCTCCCTTTTTTCCTTCCTCCCTTGTATTCTTCCATCCATCCATCCATCCATCCATCCATCCATCCATCCACCCACCCACCTATCCATCTATCTATCCTCCCATCCACCTATCCACCCACCCATATATCCATCCATCCATCCATCCATCCATCCATCCATCCATCCACCCACTAACTCATCCATCCATCCATCCACCCACCCATCCATCCATCTATTCATCCTTCCACCCATCCGTCCACCCACCCACCCATCCATTCATCTATCCTTCCATCCATCTATTCATCCATCCACCCATCCATTCATCCATCTATCTATTTGTCCATCCATCCACCCTCCCACCTATCCATCCATCTATTCATCCATCCATCCATCTTTTCTTCCATCACTCCTTTCTTTTTTTTTTTTTGAGATGGAGTTTCACTCTTGTTGCCCAGGCTGGGGTGCAGTGGCGTGATCTCGGCTTACCGCAACCTCTGTCTCTCGAGTTCAAGCGATTCTACTGCCTCAGCCTCCCAAGTAGCTGGGATTATAGGCATGCTCCACCACAGCCAGCTAATTTTGTATGTTTTTGTAGAGATGGGGTTTCACCATGTTGGTCAGGCTGGTCTCGAACTCCTGACCTCAGGTGATCCACCCGCCTCGGCCTCCCAAAGTGCTGGGATTACAGGCGTGAGCCACCGCACCCAGCCCCTTCACTCCTTTCTTTTTCTCTTTCCCTGCCTTCCTTTTGATAAATTAACTTAAACATTTTTTTTGGTGAAATTAATATGGTGATGTCTACTTATATTTAAATCAGAAAATTATTAGTATGCTGAATATTCCAATCTCTTAGGAATGATAAAAATATTCTATAAAGGTCAATCTTAATTCCACATCCTATGTTCCTACTCAGCTTTCTGTCTCTGATTTCTCATTTTTAGCTGGGAACATCCCAGCCAAAAGACAGCCAGGTTCTCTGTGAGCATAGCATATCAAACTAACTGTAAGAAAATAACATTTTGGCTTAAAAGCCATCTTCTAATATAAGATAGAATAAAAATGATAATGATTGGTATACTATGTGGCATTGTTAGTAAGAATTTGAAGTAAGATTTACCTAAATCGCTGAAAATATTGAATAGTTGGCTGAGACTTTAGAATTGGTACAAACATGTACATTTTCTCAAAATCAAAAGAATTAAAATAGATATCCAAGAAGTCAGATTATGAAAAAATAAGATAGTCAACGGAAATCCTAAAAGTAACTTAAACATTGGCATTGGACATATTTCATTTGTATTTCTGCCATAGAAGAGTTAAGTTAATGTGCATTTTTGCCATGCAATGGCAAAATGAAGAGACTTTTTTTTCCCTTCTTTTTGCTCTTGGTAAAATTAAGTGGCAAAGAAAAGATAGCTCTGAGGTTATTGCTAGAATTTTGTGCTAAAAACATTTTGGCTAGAGCAGCAAGTTTTTAGGCAAACAGCCCCTGATAAAAGTTGCAAGAAAAAAATCTCATTCGAGTGCACCAAACACTTTTCAGATGACCATTTAATTTTTTTAAGTTGCATAAACAATTTCAAGTGCACTGTAAATATAGAAAATAGGGTATGATAGTTGACAGAAACAGAATGAATTAAGAGCAGTAATAGAAAATTGTAAACAATTATATCTGAATTTCATCAGTTGTCTTGCTTACATTCACAATTAGTCATCCCGTGAAAGACATAGGTGAACATTTAGCTGCTTAAAAAGGAATTAGCTGCTTGAAAGGACAAATGTTCATGTTAAATTTCATGAAGACTAACCTTCAGCAGACAACGGCACAAATGTGTCAGCTTTTTCTGGTGTGAATGAAGCAAGATACAGGCAAAACAGATGAGATAAATAGGACTTGGAAAAAAAATTCTACTATACAAGTTTTGTATCCCCATCTTTTTGCTCTTTGTGGAGCACCTACTGGAAACCACTCCTGACCTAATGATGAGGACACAGAGAGAAAATTCAATAAGCAATGGCCTGAAAAATAATTTTTATCTAAGTATTAGATAAACGCAGTAGCATATTTGACTTGTAAAAATAACATGGCTAGGCTTTGTATGCCTCCCTGTCCTCTTACCTACGTGGGATTTTCAAATAGCACTGATTCTGGGGAGGGGAATCAAAAAATAGAAGACTCCCCTCTCCCAGAGCACACGTAATTAATGCCTGTGTTGCAGCTGGGAGCTCTCTGCCAGCAGAGTTCTTTGCTCGTCATCTCTCAGCGCTCACCCACATTCCCCTTGATTCACACCGTATTGTTTGTTTACATGTTTGTCTCCCTGACTCAGGTTGGAAATCTTTAAGGACAAGGACAACCTCTTGTTCCTTTTTACATTTCCCATGGTGCTTTGCTCGCAGTGGCCACTACAGACATGATTCATTCATTGTTTTAAAAAAAGTGTTAACTAGTTAAGTGAAAATAAAATGAAACAGCAAAATGAGACAAACGCCTAGATCTGAAAGGCTACAAAATACAGCAGAGGGTTCAGTGGACATAAGAGGAAAGGAACACAATGATATCCCCAATCTTGTGATGGAATAGAAAAAAAAAAAGTGATTGGTGTTGATGTAACACTTTTCTTGGCCAGTTGAACATTCCAGAGTAGAGGTCAGTTTTGTAGTTAAATCTGGTAGGAAGATGTTTCCAACCAGAAGGAATCATACTAAAATTATTTTATCACAACAAGCAGTCCATAACCGAAACTTTAATTTGTGAGTTGGGAATCAGGATAGGAAACCCAATTTTATATTCTTTTTATAGGAAGAAGAATCCATTCCACCACTCAGACTGCTTTCCTCTTTCATAATCGTGGCATACTCTGCCATTGTTTGTTTATTTTCCCCACAACTAGATGGAGAGTGCAAGGACCATATTTTACTCATGTGTATCCTCAGGGCCTAGCACAAAGTAGGCACTCAGTAATGAAGAAGTAAGATGTTTCAATGTCCCTAACATTTAAAAGGATGTATGAAACTAGTGCTAATACCAGAAAGAGTTGGTTTTCATAGGCTGTTAATTGTGGGTTTTGAAATAATGTACTACTTTGTACATTGATTTTATACAACTGTGTTATATACTTCAGTAACTTTCAAGGTAAAAAGTTAGAGGTTATTAAATCTGGCAGGGTCTTAAAACCTGAGTCTCAGTCCATGTAAGAGCATTCTTTTGCTCTTCTTGACTAGCCATGTAAAAGGGTGAATGTAAGTTAGTGAATTATCTTTTAGAAATCTTCAGTTGTATATATATTTTTTTCATCGAATTGCAAACTCACTCACACTTACCAATGTAATACTACCCTGTTGATGAGCATTAGTAGCCTTATTTGGGTAGCCAGATTAGAGACACAGGCTTCATGGTGTTACCTGCCTTGATGTTTTCATTCATAATGCAGCATTTGGGAATGCAGCATTTTTCTATATTGGAGACATGTATGATGATGTGTATGTTCCTTCCCCATAACCCTGTCCGCTTCTCCTTTGGCAGTGTCTTGCATCACAATTTTATTTTATTTTTATTTATTTATTTATTTTTTGAGAAAGAGTCTCACTCCGTCACCCAGGCTGGAGTGCAGTGGTGCAATCTTGGCTCACTGCAGCCTCCACCTCCCAGGTTCAAGTGATTCTCCTGCCTCAGCCTCCCGAGTCGCTGGGACTACAGGTATGCACCACAATGCCTGGCTAATTTTTTTTATATATTTTTTTTAGTAGAGATGGGGCTTCACCATGTCAGTCAGACTGGTCTTGAACTCCTGACCTCAAATGATCCGCCAGCCTCAGCCTCCCAAAGTGCTGGGATTACAGGCGTGAGCCACCGCACCTGGCCTCCAATTTTAAATATATGTAGGCTCCATCTCCACCTCTCCCTGAAAAAACTTTCCCTGCTCCTTTCGCCTTCATGTGTGCCATAAGTTGACTGCCATCAGGCCAATATCATTACATATAAATTCCCTCCACCCTTCGTTTTAATTTTAAAATATCTGAAAGGGGGAAAGGGAGAAGATTCCCTAATGAGTATGTTGTGTGATTCAGGACCTTGGCTCTTAGATCCTCAGTCATGTGATATTTTCAGATTTTATGGGACTATGGTGCAATTGAAGAAAGGCTTTTGACAGAAAATGTGAAATGATGAAGTCTTAGCACGGACTCATACGGCAGTATTTGATTGCGGGTTAATCTCCAAACGTTGAAATAAAGTGGATCTGTTAAAAAGCCATTGGTTACTTTCAGTTGCCAGGGGTGTGTATGCTCACATTCCTGGAAGCACATTCTATAAAGTCACCAATCTACAACACAGACACCCACCTCCCCCTAGACTTCAGAGAGCTCTGCTGGGCTGCAGCTTTCTACCAAAAGAGTTGTGTGCCTCTGAATTTCACATCCAACCTTGGAAGCTGCAGTCTGTTTAAGATTTCAGAAAGAATGGGGGCTATGTTTCCAGTTTACTGCTTTGTTATTTTGAAATTGAAAGTCTGAGCAGAATTCAGAACTACACAAAACAGGATCTTTTCACATGTTTGTTTAAGTCATGTTCTTGGCAAAAACTTGCTGAGGAAATGATCTGTTTCTCTAGGAGCATTGATTTCTTACTCCAGTACAGTGGCCATTTCCCAGGATCTCATTCCAAACCATCTGTTTTGCCATCAGAGCCAGCCTTTCAGTGAATGATCTCTTTGGTCTACACTGTGCTAAACCTTCTGATTGAAAGGATTTTTATTAATGAAATCTAGGTAATAAAGTTGCAGTGAACTTTAGGAAGTTCTCTGTAGGCAGGGCGTGGTGGCTCAAGCCTATAATCCCAGCATTTTCGGAGGCCAAGGTGGGCAGATCATGAGGTGAGGAGTTTGAGACCAGCCTAGCTAATACAGTGAAACCCCGTCTCTACTAAAAATACAAAAAAAAAAAAAATTAGCTGGGCGTGGTGGTGGGCGCCTGTAATCCCAGCTACTTGGGAGGCTGAGGCAGGAGAATCGCTTGAACCCATGAGGCGGAGCTTGCAGTGTTGCAGTGAGCCGAGATCACACCACTGCACTCCAGCCTGGCAACAGAGCGAGACTCCGTCTCAAAAAAAAAAAAAAAAAAAAAAAAGAAAGTTCTCTGTAACAGTCAAATAGCAAGTGCTGACCTCTGTCGCCTCTGTAGCAGCAGTATGGATGAATTGTGAGCTTGTTGGCTAGGTTGGGCTGCGGGTCATTGTGGAAAAGCCATGTTTCCCTTGCCTGTGGCTGGGAATAAGTATAGTGGGGCCATTTTAAAAAAAAGTCCTGTGGTTGAATTCTGAGTTTGAGCTGTTTTAAAATGTCAAACAGACTGAATCCTTGGGAGACTCATTTGAATGAGACCAGCAGCAATGTAAGAATATATATATATATAAAACACGTTAGAGCATTTCCATGTATGGGAGGGAACTGATGGAGAGAACACAGACCACCACATTAACTGCCACATGCTGTCAACCAGTGGATCTCAACTGGGGACCATTTTGCCCTCTCAGGACATTTGGCAATGTTTGGAGACACTTTTTGATCGTCCCAAATGGGAAAACAAGGTAGCAATACTGGCATCTAGTGAGTAGAGGCCAGAAATGCTGCTGAACATCCTGCAATGGGGCTGGGGGCATTGGCTCACACCTGTAATCCCAGCACTTTAGGAGGTCGAGGCAGGAGGATCGCCTGAGCTCAGGAGTTTGAGGCTGCAGTGAGCTGTGATGGCGTCACTACACTCCAGCCTGGGCAGCAGAGTCAGGGGTCTCTTGAATGAATGAATGAATGAATGATTTTTAAAAATCAATCAATCAATCAATATCATATCCTACAATGCACCAAACAGTCCTCTGCCTCAACCAAGGATCATCTGGCCCAAAATGTTAATAGTGCTGGAGTTGAGAAACCCTGCCTTAGACCCTTTCCTTCTCATAGTTTCCAAGCTGATAAATCAGCCTGCCTTGACAAAGGTGAGGAGGTAAGCTGCAGGCGTGAGTGGGAAGAGCAGGATAAGGAAGGAAACGGAGAAAAGAGGTAGCAGCATTGCATGAAAATAAACTACCCGGGCCATATCCCATTTGTGCCAAATTAATATTTGGGATTCTGTCTTTATGTGTTTGGTAAAGCCGGAAAGTATGTGGGTGGCTGGCTGGGCCATGGCCTTTGTGTTAGAGGTGACCTGAGTTTCTTCAAAGCACCTGTGTTAGTTTTTCATTGCTGCTGTAACAACTTATCAGGAACTTTGTGGCTTAAAGCAACTGTTTTTATCTGACAGTTCTGCAGGTCAGAAATCCAATACAGGTCTCACCAGGCTGAAATCAAAGTGTCAGCCAGGCTCATTCTCTGTAGGGACTCTAGAGAATAATTCATATCCTTGCCTTTTCCGTTTTCTTTCTTTTCTTTTCTTTTTTTTTTTTTTTTGGCGGGGGGGAACGGAGTCTCATTCTGTCGCCCAGGCTGGAGTGCAGTGGCACATATTGGCTCAGTGCCACCTCCGTCTCCAAGGTTCAAGCAATTCTCCTGCCTCAGCCTCCCAAGTAGCTGGGAGTAGCCCAGCACCATACCCAACTAAATTTTATATTTTTACTAGAGTGGGGTTTCTCCATGTTGGCCAGGCTGGTCTCGAACTCTCGACCTCAGGCGATCCACCCGCCTCGGCCTCCCAGAGTGCTGGGATCACAGGCATGAACCATCGTGCCTGGCCCACCTTTTTCCATTGTCTAGATGCCATTGTATTTCTTGGCTCCTGGCCCCTTCCCCTATCTTCAAAGCCATCAATGTTGCATCTCTCTGTGCTGTGTTTCCATAGTTGAATCTTCCTCTGACACTTCTTCCTCCTTCTCAGACTTTTAAACTTCCTTGCGATTACATTGGACCCACCTGTATCATCTCCCCATCTCCAGATCCTTAATGTCATCACATCTGTGAAATCGCTTTTACCACGAATTCACAGACTGATTCTGGGGATTAGGACGTGGGTATGTTTGAAGGTCCCTTGTTGTGCCTACCACAGACTCCAAGGCATTTACTAGAGCCACATTTTGCTGACTTGAGCTAGATGTAGCAAAAGAAGTGTTATAAAAATGGGTTTTTAAAAAAGCCTTTTTTTTTCCTGTGGTATAATTTTAGTGTTTAGAAGTAATTTTTCTTTTAATGCAGTATGACACAGAAAACATTTGGAGGATGTTGAAAAGTAATTGTTTAAATTGGCAAAGACACATTTCAGTAAGGGAGTAAACAAGAGGGAAACGTGTTGGGGGGAAAGGTGTGGGGAGGAAACTCTAGACCAGAGGCCCTAGGACTTGAATATACAACTTAGTCCTGTTGAAAATTCAGATTCCTGGGCCTTAAAGTATGTTAAATAGGTCAGGGGTGGGGCCCAGGAGTTGTACTTTTAACGAGCACCCTCCTGTGATTCATTTAACATAAAAGGTCCTTGGCTCACACTTGGAGAAACACTGCTGTAGAAACTCAAATACCTATTTTAAAACAAAGGTACATTTTAATCATTTAGTTTAAAATGAAATCATTGCATAATACTGATGTTAGAGGTTAGAATAAACATGTACTTAAGTTCTTGATATTCTTGTCATTTCAGTTACATGTCAGGGAATGTGATTTGTGTTTTGACGTATTCAAATCCTTGTCATATTCAACCATATTCGTATTCAAAATATATAATGATTTTGACCCTTGATTGTTCGAATTAAGACTGTCATCTTTTCTGTGTGATTAACTCTTGTGTTGATATAAATATGCCTTTGGCTTACTAATGTTCAGTAAGAACTAATGACTCTTGGGAATGTTAATAGACTCTGTGAGTCCCTTTTTAATCATTTGTAACCAGGCTGTCATTCCATGTTTGTTTGGAAGCTTAGAGATAACATTTATGAACTTTGTGACACATAGTAGTTGCTCAATAAATGTTAACTGTAGAAACACATTGATTAGTTTCACTTCAGAAATAGACACTTAGAGTTCAAAATTCCCATCTGCCTAGCTCCTGAGGCCCACTTTCTTACCAGAATCTTTCCTGATACCCTCTCCTGCATAAAATGGTTCCTCTTTTGAGACTTTGTAGCTCTTTTGTACTTCTCTTATTCTGTTACGTTACTGCAAAAAAAAAAAAAAAGAAAGAAAAGAAAAGTGCCAATTGTGTACATGCTTTCCTCCCTGCTGGAATGTAAACTTTGTAAAGGCATGATCCATAGCAGATACTTCTTATTACAAACTACCTGGCAGAATTTCTTTCTAAAGAACCTACTCAGTAAGCCTGTTGGTGAACTGAGCAACATTTGGACAATTATGGCATCATCTTACAATTTTTCAGCTATTGGTTTTCACTTGTTTAGAAATGTAAAACTTTGCAAGGACTTTTATAAAAGCAAATTTCAGAATAGTTATTCACTAAGCTTTTTTATGCTAATGATGTCATGCTATCAAAAATTAGCTAGAGTAAATGGACTGTAATGAGGATGGTTTGTAATCTAGATTATATGTTCCACATGTAACATCGAAATGAAATATAAAATTGAGTTGTTGGCATGTGGTTGTGGTGAGCAGAAGCAGTTATTATACATTACTTGGTAAAATTCATATTCATATCTTGTCAGTTTACAGTGAGCCAGAGATTAAAAATAACATTTGTTTCTGTTTTAGTAACTGCTTAAAAATATCCAAAATCATTTTATTTTCTTTAGCCTGACTTCTAGTAGTGTTTTGAATATGTGGCCTTTCAAGCAGTAATGAAATGCATCAATGCGACTTGGCAGTGCCTCACAGGACATGCTTCTAGGATCATTTTTAATGATTAAAAGTCAAATTGAGTTCTAAAAAACTGACCCAAAATATAGATGAGCCAAGTAAAAACGGAAGGAAATCTGAATAAAATCTTGGTTCTTGGTCCTCTGCATGTATCCTCCACATCTGTTTTCTCCAGATCTCTTTTTTCTTGCTTGTTGATAGCACAGAGGAAGATCGCAGAGAGTAATGTACTGTATATGTTTCACATCCCCCTTCCTCTTTAGTGATAGTTTGGAGAGTATACTGCAGTCACCATGGTTTTCAGTTTGGAGAGTACAAGGATCAGATCTGTATTTTCTAGAGCCAGCTTTTGTGGCATTCTGGAGAGGTGATTGGAGAACCATGAGAGCAGGCAGACATCTGGGTGAGAGGGCACGAGGGGTGAGTGACGGCAGAGCCAGACTTGCTGGAGAGGCAGAAAGGGAAGGATTCAAGTAGCATAACCAGGAAATAGAATTGATAGGATTTGGTCCCTGCTGACCTGTGGAATAAGGGGGAAGGCAGAGGAGTTGATTCTAGTATTTCTAAGTTGGGCCACTTAGTGATATTGGGGTACCAGGAACAGGCTTAGTGGACCCACAGAAGTGACCAGACCCAGGAGTCTCTCTGAGCGCCCACCCTGGCTTCTCTGTGTTGGCTTACCCTTTCTTGGTTGGGGGTCATGGGGTGGTCAGCTTCAGTGGTGTGGTCTGAGGTGACAGGTGCTCAGGAGTGAGGACAGGGAGTAGACATCACCAATGTGAATGTGGAGGTAGGCAACAAGAGTTATTCTAGAACTGACAAATTTAATATATTTTGCTGACTGCTGAGTTCCATTTGGACAAATACCTAATGCATTTGGGGCTTAAAACCTAGATGACGGGTTGAAGGGTACAACAAACCACCGTGATACATGTATACTTATGTAACAAACCTGCACGTTCTGCACATTTGTCCCAGAACTTAAAGTAAAAAAAAAAAAAAAAAAAAAAGATTGTTCAGTTCAGTTCAGAGAGCAATAGGAGCAGTTTGCTATTCACCAAATAGGGACATCAATTCTTTACTGATTAATAGCAGTGATTCAGAAAACTGCCTTTTGTAGTAGAGCACACCAAGGGGGTCTGCCGGATGGAAAAAGAGAACAGTGCTTTGTGAACTATAATTGTTGCCATAAGTAAATACTTAAAATACACTAAAATGGCAACATCAGGAAACATGACTAAGGAGTCAGTGTACGCCACGCCCTTTCCCCCACCTTTGTGGTTGTTGAAAATTTCCACCAAGAGTGATGTATACAAAAAAGGGTAAGATCAGGGTGTTAGGTTTCAGAGGAAGGCAAAAACTTGTGTGATTCTATAAATGGAGCTTACAAATGGAAATGCACCATTCAAGGCAGAAAGTCTATCACAGTCATTAGGAATAAGCATTAGAGTGATTCTCCTTTCTTAACTTCTGCACAGAAGTTTGATGTGGTAAAGAAACAGTCTGCTCTTAGCCATGTTCCTTGAAAATACATGTCTTCAATTACTTGGTTTGTCTGAGAGAAAGGAGGGTTTGGAGGAGAAGGAAATGCCTCGTGAGTTTGACATACTATGGGAGGATTGTTGTTATTATTGCTTGATTTACATGCTCTCATTTTATACAAAGTGTACAGCACAATTTCTCAAAGAGTAATTATGATGCCAAGAAAATGGGGTGGATTCTGGGCTTCCTGCAGTCTGTCATCCAAATAATAATATTCATTACAAAGATCCTTACCCAGGAGGCCAAGGTGGGAGGATTGCTTGAGGCCAGGAGTTCAAGACCAGACTGGGCAACATAGACCCCTATCTCAAAATAAAATAAAGTAAATAAAATAAAATAAAATAAAAAATAAAATAAAATAATAAAAGCTCCATACCAGTTTGTGGCATTCCTACTGAAAACAGAGGTATACGAAATGCTTGAACAGGGCATGGAACTGGAGGTATGGATGTCATTAAGAATGGCTGAGAATTTTTTGCCAAGAGTTAGTATACTATCCTACTTTATTCTATTTCAGTTTGCAGTAGGACAGACCTAATTCTCTTCCCTGAGAAAGTCACAAATAAACTAGCATGGAGCTTCTCAGTGGGCACCCTTGGCTGAACTCTATAGACTCCTGTTCTCTTTAATAATATCTAAAGCTTCTGGTTCAATTACATGGCTAATATCTTGACTCTCAAGACCAAAAGGCAAGATGTTTAAAAATAAAATCAACGTTAAAAACATGCCTGTGTTCCATGGACACAGGAAGGGGAACATCACACACTGGGGCCTGTTGTGGGGTTGGGGGAGGGGGGAGGGATAGCATTAGGAGATATACCTAATGCTAAATGACGAGTTAATGGTTGCAGCACACCAACATGGCACATGTGTACATATGTAACAAACCTGCACATTGTGCACATGTACCCTAAAACTTTAGTAATAAAAACAAAAAAATAAGAAAACAAAAACAAAAAAAACATGCCAGTGTTCTTTAGTCCTCACTCAATTAGAGAAAAATGAGAGCAAGCATGATATTTTGTATCTGGCACTATGTGCACTGCCTTGAGAGATTTCTCTAGAAGGTTTTAAGAACATCTGTCATCTATTAATAGTTACGAAAGCCGAGACTCACACAAATGAGGCAACATTACAGGGGGTCAGAGAGCACATAGGTAAGCCCACCTTGATGGGAGTCCTGGCCCGAGGCACTTTGGGGAAAGAGTGAGCTGCAGTGGTTATAGAAAGACAAATGTCTTGAGCCGGGCATTGAAAAATGACTAAGAATAATCTAGAAAGTGTTCAGTATGTTTTTAACGATTGTGGGTTAGCAGAAGGAAAGCCATCTGAGGTGAGAGAAATAATAAGCAAAGGGGACAGAGGTGGATGGTGAATCAACTGACCCAAGGGAGTTAAGCGTTTAGAAAGCACTTCAAAAGGATAACACTACATAGCTCCTTGCCTTACTGTGGTGCCTTAGAGATGACTGGCATTTTTGCAGAGCTTGTTTCATAAATGTGCTTTCAGAGGAATAAACAGGGGATTCGGGCTGGGCTGAGGATACCTTGAATTTTGTTTACAGACCATCATTTTGTTTACAGAACATCAGTGCTCTATCCTCATGTCCTTCTAAGAATCAAAAGTTTTAACCTCACAGAATCCAGCGTGTGGCTTGTGAGTGAGACTCCTTTTTCCATGTGATAACCGGTCTGCTTTGGGGAGGCAAAAGAATCTTACCGACACGTACATATTTTAGGATGGGCTCTGAGCCAATTCATCAAGCCAACTCCTCACTTTGAAACAAGAAAGTGAAGAGGATGTTTCATGATTGTGGAATACCTGCCAGAGGAAGAATCTACCGAAGTTCAGTCAACTATTAATTGGAAAGGAGGCAGCAGACTGAGGAGATAGAGAATCTTTGCTCTCAGGTGGATGGAGGTTGGAGTCCTCAATCTGTCACTTGTGGGTACATTATGTAGCTCCTTCACCTCCATTTCTTTATTTATTAGAAGGCGGGTAATAAAAGTGTCCACTGCCTAGGATGGTTCTAGGGCTTAGAGGAGATAATGAAACTCAAGGGCTTAACATGTGAATGTTAGCTATTATCATTGCATGTGTCCATTAACACCCAAAGATAACCAGTGTTGTTTAGTAGTTCTTTGCGTATTTTCTTTCTAAATAGATAATGATTTATAATTTACCTAGTTACTTCATGAATTGATTTCATGAAAAAGGTCTTTCTGAATCTCTTTCCATGTACTTTAAAAGTTTATTCCTTTAGTTAAAAGAAATTTTAACTAGATTCTTAAAGCCTAGATTGGAAGAAAGTGTTTGCTAAAAAAAAAGTCATGGCTGGGTGCAGTGGCTCACACCTGTAATGCCAGCACTTTGGGAGACCGAGGCGAACGGATCACAAAGTCAGGAGAGCAAGACCATCCTGGCCAACATGGTGAAACTCCGTCTCTACTATAAATGCAAAAAGTAACTGAGTGTGGTGGCATGTGCCAGTAATCCCAGCTACTCGGGAGGCTGAGGCAGGAGAATCACTGGAACCAGGGAGTCAGAGGTTGCAGTGAGCTGAGATCACAGTACTACACTCCAGCCTGGTGACACAGCTAGACTCCAAAAAAAAAGAAAGAAAGAAAAGAAAAGTCATGTATATATCCAGAAGAAAGGAAATCAGTATATTGAAGAGATACCTGCACTCCCATGTTTGTTGCAGCTATTCATTATAGCCAAGATATGGAATCAATCTAAGTCTCCATCAATGAAGGAATGGATAAAGAAAATAAGGTACATATACACAGTGGAATATTATTCAGCCATACAAAAGAATGAAATTCTGTCATTTGTAACAACATGGCTGGAACTGGAAGACGTTATGTTAAGTAAAATAAGCCAGGCACAGAAAGACAAATATCACATATTCTCACTCATATGAGGGAGCTAAGAAACATGACGTCATGGAGACAGAGAGTAGAATGATGGTTAGCAGAGGATGGAAAGGGTAGTGAGGAGGGAGGAATAAAGAGAGGTTGGTTAGTGGCTATAAAAATATAGTTAGATAGTAGGAATAAGAGCTAGTGTTCAGTAGCACAATAGGGCAACAATAGTTAACAATAACTTATTGTATATTTCAAAATAACTAGAGGAATGAATTTGGAATGTCCCTAACAAAAAGAAATGAAGTGATGGGTATCCCAAATACCTTGATTTGACCATTACACATTGTGTGCTTGTATCAAAAAATCACATGTACCCAATAAATATGCACAACGATCATGTACCCATAAAAATAAAACAAAATTAAAAATGCACACTTCTCACAGTTTCTTGCCTAGTAGAATCCAAGTAAATACAGTTTTCCGCCCACAGATAACTCTTCCCTCTGGTGCCCTCATGGTTTATCTCATGTTCTTGACCACATGGGTTAATGGTCTTTGTTAGGTTGTACTCAGTGATCCCCAAGAGGACAAATGGTGGGAATTATGGAAATTGAGGCCAGAAGGAAACCTAGAGTTCTGTGCTTTTACTTCCAGTAGGGATCTGTGGGGTTTAGAATGTCTGCCTGGTCAGCAGTTCTCACTTTGGGAACCCCCCCACCCCCACCCAAGACCTTTTCTGGAGGGACATCTGTAAGATCAAGATTATTTTTATGGTAATACTAAGACATTATTTACCTATTCCATTCCCATTCTCTTCCATGTGTACAGCGGAGTTTTTCAGAGGCTATATGATGTGTGATGATATTGTGTAATGAAATGTGTCAACTTTTGGAAGATTTGCATAATTCACTGAACTAATATAATTTTCCAAATGACCAGGGTATGATGTTACAAAATCATGCATAGCTAAAGATCCATCCAAAGTTCAAGATAGACTAATGAATTTTAATATAAAAGAATACTTAGAGTTTATTTCTATGCTTCAGATTCCATGGTGCTGCTCCCCTTTAAGAAACTACCACTTATTGAGTTTTGGTATGATATAAAAAAAGAATATCCACAATTGCTGAAACTATTGGCCACATCTTCTCCACATACTTCAACCAAACAACATATCACAGAAAACTGAATTCAGAGGCACAGAAGAGAATTTAACCATTTTCCATTAAGCCAGGCATTAAAGAGAGCTGCAAAAATCTAAATGGATCTCACTCTTGTCACTAACTTTTTTGTTCTGAAAAATATAATTATTTTTTCATAAAGATGTTATTTCATGTAGTATGCAATGGGTATATTAGTATTTCTATTAAATGAACTAATGAATATTTTACATTTTTCTCAATTTTGCTTCTAATATGGTATAATAGTTGTTAAATATGATCTACCTAATGAAAAGTTCCTTGGGGTCCTCAATAAATTTTAGGAGTATAGAGGAAACTTTATACTCTTAAAATTTATTGAGGACCCAAGGAGCTTTTAAGTGTGAGGACCAAAAGTGTGAGGACCACTGGCCTAGTCTGGTCAGTGTCTACACCCTGTGTCCACTGGTTTCACCTTTCTTCTGGAAAAAGTGTTCTGTGGTAAAATATATTTTGGGCCTAGATGAGTGCTTTCTCCCCTCATAGATTTACAATACACATGAACATATGAGACCCTCCAAAGTCTTTCCCAAATTTATCCCAACCTTTAAAAACAAATTATCCCAACCTTTTTTTATCCTCCTTTTAATTTTGGCACAACATAATGTTCCACAATGGAATATAACATCCTATGGAACGTACCGGCTGGTATATGATATGGGCTGCCCTCTTTCCGTTAACAAAAAAATTAAAAGCAAGACATTTTCCTTCAAATCCATACTTTATTTAGAGAGAGGCCTATAAAATTCACTTGCGAATCTGATTGACTTTCTTAAAAAAACATACTCTTCATTCATTGTATTATGCCATTTTGCTTATACTCTTTGAAGCTGTTTCTACTTCTGTTTCCAAATGCATATGTTTTTTTAAAGCTCTGTTTTAGACATTTTTGTGTGTTAATTAGTAGCATCTGCTCCATGTGTCATAAGACAAAGTAATTTCATCCCCACAAAATTGTCCAAATTGCAGGTTAAGTGGTAGCAGCCTAGCTGTTGAGCTGTTACTACTGTTTGGTATTTTTAAATGGCAAAAAATACCTTCGGTGATGCATCACATGCCTTTAATAAAACACAGTCACTTTGGGTAACAGAAAGATTTAGAAATGGCAGTGGGTTTTGTTGTATTTCTTTTTATGATTCTTTCTTTCCAGTGCTTTAGTTTCCATTGGTTGTGGGTACAATCCTAAGAGTCAGACCAAAATAAAGAATATTCCATCAGTATGGATCAAAAACATGTTCCTGGCCGGACATGATGGGTCACACCTGTAATCCCAGCTACTTGGGAGGCTGAGCTGGGAGGACTGCTTGAGTTGAGGAGTTCGAGGTTGCCGTGAGCTATGATCACACCACTACACTCCAGCCTAAGTGACAGAGCAAGACCCTGTCTCTAAATAAATAAATAAATAAATAAATAAATAAATAAAAAATTAAAAAACATGCTCCTGGCTGCTGCGTGATGAGCATCATCTTCCTAAGACATGAGACTGATACTTGCACCACCCAGCACCAGTTTCTTCCCGGCACAGTGCCATTCTAAATTTGTATTGAGGCAGGAGTGCAGCGAGAATTTCTTTCTCCTTCTGTATTTCACATGTCTATGCCACAGAAAGAATAGAAACATCTTAATTTGTTATAATAATTATAGGGACAATAGTCACTGTATTTTATATAATTCAAAAGTTCTTTTTAAAAAATTTTTTGGTCTTGCCGGTTCCTACTGAAACACTTCGTACAGTTTGAATCCTTAGTGACTTTCTATTGCCAACTGAAAATTGATTTTTTCCTATATTAAAAAAAAATCCAGCCGGGCACGGTGGCTCCTGCCTGTAATCCTAGCACTTCGGGAGGCCGAGGTGGGTGGATCACCTGAGGTCAGGAGTTAGAGACCAGCCTGACCAACATGGTGAAACCCCGTCTCTACTAAAGATTAATTAGCCAGGCATGGTGGTGGACGCCTGTAATCCCAGCTGCTTGGGAGGCTGAGGCAGGAGAATCGCTTGAACCCGGGAGGCAGAGGTTGCAGCGAGCCGACATTGCACCATTGCACTACAGCCTGGGCAACAAGAGCAAAACTCCATTTCAAAAAAAAAAAAAAAAAAAATCCAAACAGAAAATACTGTGGCTATCTTATTCAGTATCTTGTTCTTTTCCTTACCACTGAGTAGTTTCAGGGAAAACCCTTTACAATTGCAAAAAGACATTCAGTTTATAGGACTATTTATTACAGCGTTGGCAAATGGTGCTGGAAATTCTCTAATAGTTAAATGACGCAAATTAACCAGACTGAAATGGAAGAACCATACTGAGGTTGCTCTTCAAACAGCAAGAGGCTACCTTTCTGTTTTCTTTGACAACTGAATATAGCTTATGATATAGTTAAGGTATCAAAGATGCAAGAATTGTAGAGCTATGTGGCAGGTTAAGAAGCCTGATGAATGGCCGGGTGCAGTGGCCCACGCCTGTAATCCCAGCACTTTGGGAGGCCGAGACCAGCAGATCACCTGAGGTCAAGAGTTCAAGACCAGCCTGGCCAACATGGTGAAATCCTGTCTCTACTAAAAATACAAAAAATTAGCTGGGCGTGGTGGCGTGTGCCTGTAATCCCAGCTACTTGGGAGGCTGAGGCAGGAGAATTGCTTGAACCTGAGAGGCAGAGGTTGCAGTGAGCTGAGACCACACCATTGTACTCCAGCCTGGGCAACAAGAGCAAAACTCTATTTCAAAAAAAAAAAAAAGAAGTTTGATGAAGATGCAGATGCTTCATTGCTTGTGCAAATTGTGTGATTTTAGCATATTCTACAGTGGAAAGTCAAATTTCAGGCATGCACACCTAAAGTAGGAAAAATGGTTCTTAAAGGGGTAGTGTGATGCAGGGATTAAGAACCTGGTTTCTGGAGTCAGATGGCCTGAGTTTGAGTCCCACCTCTACCATGTATGTGTGCTGTTGAACAGGTGATTTAACTTCTTTGGGGCTCAGTTTCTCCCACTGTAAAAAGTCATGTAAAGTTCCCAGAAGAGTGTTTCATACATTGTAACTGTAGTAGTTATCTACTGCTGTGTAAGTAATTACTCCAAATCTTAGTGGCTTAAAACAACAAGTGTTTATTATCTCTCAGTTTTTCTAAGTGTGAATCACTGCATATCATAGCTGGGTGTCTCTAGCTCCAAGTCTTTCATGAGGTTGTAGTCAAGTTGTTAACCTGGGCTGACGTTTCATCTGAAGGATAGGGTGGGGGCGGTAGGGATCTGCTTCCAAATCCACTCACATAGATGCTAGCAGGCCTCAGTGATATGCCATGTGGGCCCTTCCACAGGACTGCATCACAGCCTGGCAGTCAGCCTCCCCCAGGTGAGTAACCCAGAAGAGGATGCAAGATCCCAAGATGGAAGCCACCATCTTCATGTAACCCAGTCTTGGAAATGATCTCCCATTACCTTTGCCACAGTCTGTTTGCTAGAATTGAGTCACTAAATCCAGTCCACACTCAAGAAGGCTTTACAAGGGCATGAATTCCAAGAGGTGGGATCACTGGAAGCCATCCTGCAGGCTGCTTATAACAGTAACTTGTGCTTTAATTTATATCCCCTTATGGTCTATTCCTGACAATCAGACCAAATGAGCCCTTAAAATGTAAGGCAGATCATGATACTACTGCATTAAAAATTATCTCTGGTCTTCCCATTTTACTTAAAAGTCGGTATCTTTACAATGGCCTACAAGGCCTTTCATGCTTATAAAATTATTTTTCTATATTTTGTAAAATAATATATATGTATAATAAATGCTATATATGTATATTTGTATAAACACATGTTTATATGTTTAGTTATATATCTAGAATTTATTTTCCATATGGTGTAAGATAGCAATCTCTTTCGAAACGAAGAGCCAGGTTTCCCAGCACTATTTATTGATTACAATACCCTTTTCCTGGGCCAGGTGCGGTGGCTCACATCTGTAATCCCAGCACTTTGGGAGGTCAAAGCGGGTGAATCACGAGGTCAGGAGTTCAAGACCAGCCTGGCCAACATGGTGAAATCCCGTCTCCACTAAAAATACAAAAATTAGCTGGGTGTGGTGGTGGGCACCTATGATCCTAGCTACTTGGGAGCCTGAGGCAGGAGAATTGCTTGAAACCAGAAGGCAGAGGTTGCAGTGAGCTGAGATCACTCCACTGCACTCCAGCCTGGGTGAAAGAGCAAAACTCTGTCTCAAAAAAAAAAAAAAAAAAAAAAAACCAAAACAAAATAAACCTCTTTTTTCCCTGAGTTGATATTCTACTGAGAACCTGTTTGTCTCTTATTATGCAATCTGTGTCTAATTGTTGCATTTTTGAATAAAGATATACTTAGTGGGTCTAGTAAATCATATAAGATAGTTGTGTTTGTTATGATTTTATTTGATTTGAAACATTCAAATACATGTAAAAACAAATTATAATTGAGAATTAATTATGGCAAACATTTAATAAGTTCCTTTATTTGATAGATTAGGAACTAATTTTATTTAAAAGGCCGTGACTTACATTTAAAAGTCCAATTAGCTACAACATTAAGACTAAAAAGTATATTTCATGACTCCCAGGTCACTGTTTATAGGTTGTTGATATCCCATACTTTGCTGCTGCTGCTGTTGCTTATAACTGTTCAGAAAATTTTCACCAAAATGTCTATCAAATTGGAAAACCCTCTGGAGTGAGATCCTTTTTAAAATATAGCCAACTTTCACATATGCAGGCATATCTGTGAATGCCCTAGGCCCCTGTGCTTTCTCTTCTGCTTTTTGGGCTTTTGGCCTTATCTTTGCTTATGATAACTTCAAATGGTAAACAAGAAGGGATAGGTGACAGAGATTAAACCCAAGCCAGTTTGTTTTGTTGATTATTATTAACGGTATTGATAAAGAGTTTGCTGAAAGAGGGAAGCATATTGAAATTATTGCTTAAAAAGAAGTGTGTAGAATTTTCAGTTGTTTTCTTTTGATAAGAGTTGCCTCATAGCTGTTGTAGTATGTGCAAATGAAGGTCAGCGATAAATCACAGAATGAATCACTTCCAACTCCTTCACATCTACAGATATAAGTAAGAATGGAAAATATTGTCACTTAGATGAGTCCTTATTTTTTTTTTCTGTATGAATAGTATAAACCTTACTTTTCTGGACACCTAGCTTTGGCAGCTGGTGAAGGTTGTTAAAGTAACAAATGGGACCATTCTGCCTCTCCCAGATCGATTTTGCTGCAAGATAGTTGAAAATAATATAATCCAGAAATGAATTTATTTTCTTATGGCAAAAACAAAACAGAAAGAGAGTACTATGAGGAAGTATCATGCTACTGGTAAATTTTTCAAACTAAAACCGCATTACATTTCATTAAATGAGTTTATGTCCATTAAGCGTCAATGAGCATGAGTGGTTGAACCCAGAATCCAGTCAAAGTACATATTAACTTTCTGTATGACTTTAAAAAGAGGTATGTCAACCTCCCTGGGTCAGCAGGTTCCTTTGCAGAAGACATTGGAATGAAACGTCAAGGACCTCTTCCAATTATAGAATACCTCGAGATATGAAGTTGGTAACAAATAAGAGAAATGCAGCAAGATATTTTTAGTTAAAAAAGAAAAGATTGATACAAGCCAGTAACTTGCAGTGAACTTGTTTAAATCCTCCTCCTCTCTCCAAATTCTGTTTTTACCAAGCCGGTAAAGTAAAGACAGTTTGTCATGCTTTGAACTTCCTGGCTTATGTTGATTTCTATCAGTATGTTGCCTTACACATTTGAGTGGGAGCTGAGTTACATAAAACTAATAAAATCCTTACAACCCCATTTTCTGTGGGTACTGATAGCATCCAAAAAATAAAAAAGGCTTTTGCCATTTTCAGGCAGTTGTTCCTCCGGCTAGATGGAAAATTGAATGGCATTATCTCAACTCACATGTTTAAACATTAACGGAGAGACACTTTCTCCTCCTCAAAAGTTTTTAGTGTTCCCAGGAATTTAACCACAGATAGACACAACTCCTCAAACGTCCCGAAAAAAAGGTTGACTATTCCATAAAGTAATAGTTACAGAAGGCTTTCAAGGAATTAGTTATTCACACAGTAAGCTTCTGAGGCATACGAGCATATCCTCTTTCTTACAACTTGGTCACTTGATCCAATCTTTGATGATCACCGTGGGACCTTTGGAGATTTATGGAGTTTAGGGTTACAAGTATGATGTGGCCACCATACTCAGGGAACTGGATGACAGTCAGCCGATGGGTTTTCAACATAGATGAGGATGAGCTCATAAAAGGCTAAAAAAGGAGGCAGACACCTTTGGAAGACTGTTTCTAGGCTCTCAAATGGCCATTGTCAAAAAACAAACAGTGGGGTGGATTTGACTAAGCATCAGAAGATGCTTTAACAACAGCCTGTGACAAGTGAGCGTTAAAAGCTCACAAGGCAGAAAGGAACTTTTCAGAGTGACCTTGTCAGACGAGGTTCTAATGTGTAGGCTTTATCAGCTGCTCTGAGTGGGGGTAAAGAGGCATGCATATTTTAAACATTCATTTCATATTCAGTGTGTAAAGTAACTACTGCTTTTCAGCTTGGGTGGAGAAAGTATTTATCAAGAATCACACAAGGGAAACCCATGCATTACCTACTTATAGGGCAAAATGGAAAATGTTCTCTCTCTTATGCTTTATCTTTTTTGTTCCATCTTAATAGCTCTTTATTTAAAAAGTATTCACATCAGTTGATTAGTCTGAGTCTTTCATTTGAAGCAAACTTTCTTCACTTTCTGCCCTTGATACTGCACATCAGTCTTTAATCACTTAGACGTACTGAATTTTTCTTTATTCACATCTTTCAATCGGTAAACTTGAAATTTTGCAAGTGCATTCCCACTGGTGTACATTCTGATTTTCAAGACCTGCTACCTCCCCCAGTGTCATGCTTGTTTTTTTTTTCTTTCTTTCTTCCTTCCCACACCCCACCTCCAGTATTTTAGGGCACCTTATGTAGATAAGCAGTGAGATGGCTTCATCCTGATAATTAACATGCTTGTTTGAGGTTATGAAATATACATTTGAGAAAGGCCAGGGATTTCCCCCTGAATATCCACTAACTGCTTGAAGTGGCATTTTCATTCTGACTTGGTATTTTGTTTTGTTTGACTGCAGCATACTGGAGCATAGTGAAAGAGTCTATTTTGAAGCTTCAAACTTAGTGCTGCTGCAGACCAGGAACAAGAGAGAAAGAGTGGATTTCAGCCTGCACGGATGGTCTTGAAACACAAATGGTTTTTGGTAAGTCATCCAAAAGACTTGACATCTTTTAGCTTTAAATGTCATCGGGCATCACTTCACTGGTGTACCAGAACTTCTTCTTCAAGCGTATTGCTATTTCTCTACATCCTAAATAACAGGACATTTGAAAAAATGTTGTCCTAGTGACAGAGCACTGAGAGAGCAACCGCATTTACTTTATGTGTTTGTTTCTGAAACTTGCAGAATAGTATGATCTGAATAGAATGTATTTGTGGTTAGAAAAAAGAACAAAAGCAAAAACAAAGCAAACCCAAACAACTAAACACACAAACAGCAAATAAACTACATCTACCAGATACTCCATTTTAGCTGAAAACATAAGGGATTAATCGCACGAGAGGAAGTAGATTCAATTTAATGGCAAGTTTTTTGCGTCTTGTGATCAAATACAGTCATGTGCCACATAATGAAGTTTCAGTCAACGACAGATCACACGTATTACAGTGGTCCCATAAGATTATAATACTGGGCTGGGTGTGGTGGCTCACGCCTGTAATCCCAGCACTTTGGGAGGCCGAGGCGCGCGGATCACGAGGTCAGGAGATTGAGATCATCCTGGCTAACGCGGTGAAACCCTGTCTCTACTAAGAATACAAAAAAAAAATTAGCCGGGTGTAGTGGCGGGCGCTTGTAGTCCCAGCTACTTGGGAGGCTGAGGCAGCAGAATGGCGTGAACCTGGGAGGCAGAGCTTGCAGTGAGCCGAGATTGCACCACTGCACTCCAGCCTGGGCGACAGAGCGAGACTCCATCTCAAAAAAAAAAAAAAAAAAAAGATTATAATACTGTATTTTGGTTGTACCTTTTCTATGTTTAGATGTGTTTAGAGGCACAAATGCCTACCATTGTGTTACAGTTGCCTACAGTATTCACTACAGTAGCATGCCGTCCAGGTTTGTAGCCTAGGAGCAATAAGCTATACCGTATAGCGCAGGCGTGTAGTAGGGTGTACCATCCAGGCCTGTGAAAGTACTCTGTGATGTTGCACAGTGACAAAGTCACCTAACAATGCATTTCTCAGAGCATATCCCTGTCATTAAATGATGCATGACTATTGTGATGGGCAAGGTGAAAGATGATGGGGGTTTCCAAGTCCTGTTCAGCAAACATTTACTGAGTAACTTTTAAGTATACATGGGCCCTTGAATGACAGTCTTAGTCTGGGGGTTGGAATTCAAACACTCTAAACTATAAATAAATGATAAAACCATTCCAGAGCATACACCAACATAATGTGGACTTCCAGGAATTTTTTTTTTATCAACCCCGTTCATGATATTACCTGGAAGCAGAGTCCTCAAATTGAAGCCTAGGTCTGCCCCACCTATCTTGGTCACCTTGGAGAACTTGCTCATCATCTTGGAACGACTTGCCTTTAAAGATGTATGTGCCTAACTGATCTCCAAGGTCTCCTGCAAATTTATAATTCAGTTCCCTCTAGTGCAATGAATTAAATAATTATCCACTTCAGTTCTTGCCCAACAGAATTTCTGTGTAGGCTTGGTGGTCATTTGCAGAGGGGCTCATTGTATCAACCAGTGTGGAGGAAAGGAGCCAGGTCCTCGGGGGGTCCCTCCTGGCCCCATTTGCCCATTTGACAGCCAGCCCTTTGGTCAAACAGGACTGTCAGCATCTGCAGTAAATAATTTTTTTGTTTTTTTTTTTTTTGAGATGGAGTCTTGCTCTGTCACCAGGCTGGAGTGCAGTGGCACAGTCTCAGTTCACTGCAACCTCCACCTCCCAGGTTCAAGCGATTCTCCTGCCTCAACCTCCCGAGTAGCTGGGACTACAGATGCGTGCCACCATGCCCAGCTAATTTTTGTATTTTTAGTAGAGCTGGGGTTTCACCATGTTAGCCAGGATGGTCTCGATCTCCTCACCTCAGGTGATCCGCCTGCCTCAGCCTCCCAAAGTGCTGGGATTACAGATGTGAACCACTGCACCCGGCCCGCAGTAAATAATTTATTCCCTTGCAACATTAAAAAAAAATGTGGCACAGTGCTTTATGAATATTATATTCATTTTTATGTATTTAATTTTAATTTATTTATTTATTTATTTATTTGAGACGGGGTTTCTTTCTCTTTGTTGCCCAGGCTGGACTGCAGTGGTGCAATCGTAGCTTGTGCTGGGACCATATGAGACTGGGACTATCCTGGCTGTCATTCATAAAGTCTTCACTGAATTTTTAGGACTTCGCTGACTGGTCTCTCTTTATGAACTTCTGTCACATTTAGGGCCTGCATCATATAAAATGCACTGCTATGTGTTGTTCTGTTAGTGTTTGTCATCACGCCATCAGGGGTACACACAGCTTCAGGGCAGGAATCATCATCACAGACCAGTAGCCGAGACTACAGGCACGCGCCACCATGCCTGGCTAATTTTTCCATTTTTTTGTAGATACGAGGTCTCGCTATGTTGTCCAGACTGGTCTGGAACTCCTGGGCTCCAGCAATCATCCTGCCTTGGCCTCTCAAAGTGCTGGGATTACAGGCATGCACCACTGTGCCTGGCCTGAATATTATATCCAAATAAGTGAGATAGGCTTCTTTTGAAATACTGTCCTTTGTTTTTCTTTAGGGGATCTGACTTTTTCCTTCTCTGTGCTTGCCGTCATTGTGTTACTGGTTACCGGCCAGCCTGTTAACCCTGTGGATCCCCACACTTTGTTTTACGTTGAATAGCATTTATTATTGTTCTTTCTTACTAAACATCCCCTTTCTGAAGCAGAGCTTCAGAAATGATGCTCAGATGTCACTCTTGTTAGCAGCTGGCTTTCTGCCTTCAAGTGATGCATTATTGGGGTTTCATAACAGCATTTTTTTTTCTCTTACAAATATTAAATTATGAAGTGCAGGAAACCACATGAATGTGGTAGAAAGCAAATGCAAACACAGTGTTATCTGGAAGTGCTAGTTTTGTGATTCTCCTGGTGACAGTATCCTTCCTGTAATCAACATAGGAACCCTCTTTACCTGTTTGCTGGTGGTTTTCTATCCTGTATCTTCCTCTCCATTTATGCTGTATGCCATGGCCACTTTGTCATGCTGAATCGGGAGGTTTGATTAAGACAGTTGCTTGGGGACTATCTCTATCAAAGTTCTGCCTCACCACAAATCCTGGCTGTCACTTACAAAGTCTTCCCTGAATCCTCAGGACTTCACTGACTGGTCTCTCTCTCTCTCTCTTTTTTTTTTTTTTTTTTTTTTTTTAAGGCAGAGTCTTGGGTCTGTTGCTAGGCTGGAGTGCAGTGGCAATCTTGGCTCACTGCAACCTTCGCCTCCCAGGTTCAAGCAATTCTCTTGCCTCAGCCTCCTGAGTAGCTGGGATTACAGGCATGCGCCACCGTGCCCAGCTAATTTTTCTATTTTTAGTAGAAATGGGGTTTCACCATGTTGGCCAGGATGGTCTTGATCTCTTGATCTCATGATCCATCTGCCTTGGCCTTCCAAAGTGCTGAGATTACAGGTGTAAGCCACTGCGCCCGGCCCTGAGCAGTCTCTCTTTATGAACTTCTATCACATTTAGGGCCTGCTTCTTACAGAATGTACTGCTGTGCATTACTCTGTGAGTGTTTGCCATCAGCACAATTGCACATGGGTTGCACATGGCTTCAAGGCAGGAATCAAATCACAGACCAGTGTTTCCCAAGGGTGGTCTAATCCCAGTACCTCCTGCTTCCGAATCTCTTGGATATGTTTATTAAAGTTGCAGATTCAGCAACACCAGGCTTATGAATCAGAAGTTCTGGGGATGTAGAACCCAGGAAACTCACCTTAGTTAACTTTTGCACACTGAGGTTTGAGAATAACTATCTGAAAATAATTGTGCATCCTCCTCTTTGCCTCCTCTCCCACAGCAAAGGGTCCAGGTCTGAGCCTATGGTAGGTGTCCAGGAAATATTTGCTTGTTGACCTAAGCAACATCAAGCCATGAGGGTTGCATTCCCTCTTCAGTTGCCAAGCTTTTTCAGGATGTGAGGTCAGCATATTCTCTGAACCTTTAGAAACCCACTTTCTTCCAAATACGTAAAGTGTTCCCCTAGGGCAGAGGCTCTTTTGGAAATCTTTTTTTGTCTCTTTATCTTTTGTAATCACTAACTCTGTTGGTGGTAATGACAGGAGCCCCTGACTAAGATTGGGATAGTGGGGACATCAGCTATGAGGAGCTGGGCTGGAGCAGCAGGCTAGGAGAAAGATCTGAGGATAGGAACCGGACTGTGCTAAACTAGAAGCTTTATCCTTGGCTCCCAAAGCCACACCTGCTACCCTTGGCAGTTTATTCTGAGTGGTATTTCTTTCAGCTGTTAGGCCTCGCAGGTTGTCAGTTTTGGTGGCAGAAGAGCGGTCCCGCTGCTGAAAAGGATCAAGTTTAGCTCTAGTGGACGCACATCAAAGCACCTACAGTGCACAGTGGTGGATTCAGGATTTGAATCCAATGTTAGCAGACTGCAGTGGTGACACTTGGCCCTCTCCTTCCGTCCGCCTCTTGTTCCAGCAAGGGCATGCCTGGTCTTGGATGATCCAGGAGAGATTTGCAGGGCGTTGCTGCTTCTGGTGCACCTCCTGAATGCCCTTGCTGGTGGCTCCAGCCCTGGTAGATGGAATCCAAACAGAAGAACTCACAGAAGCTTAGCTAGCCTAGAAAGGAACCAGCGTGGCCATCAGGACATTTATTAGCTGTTAATCTAACCACTACCAAATGCATTAACACATTTTTTTTGACAACTTTTTCTCTTTTATTTGGCTGTTGCTTAGTTCAGTTTTGCTTGGAGAAGTTGTGGCAATCCTGAATTCAGTTTGTGTGAAAAAGCAAGCACCTTCAAGCCCAGTGTTGGAGAAGTATCTTCTCCCAGGTCTCTATTCAGTTTTGACTAAAGGAGGTTTGGCGAGCAGAAAGGTATTACCGAGTGGATTCTTCTCAAATTCTCATCTAAGTGAAGGAAAAAAGCCCAGTTTGCTGAAGCCATGTTAAGGGCACATTAGGCTTTTAATATGTGCTTCATGGAGACCTTACTAGATTTTCCTCTGCGTAGTTCTTTCCATCTGATGGGAGCGAGGGCTGTTTTTGGGTTGCAGAAGGCAAGAGCCAGGTTGTCAGCTACAGAAGAGAAAGGTGCCATTGTCTGCATAATTGACTTTGAGCCTTTGTCTAAAAGGATGTCAGGTGGAGGAGTAATGAGGGGCGAGATTTTTAAAAAATTATAGAGTACAGGATTTTAGCAAAATGCCAGATGTTGGCATTTCTGTTTTGGAGGTCTTTAGTGGTCCATGTAAACTATTTCCTTGCAAGTAACCATCCATGGTAGGAAAACAGAAAAAAATGATTCTAAAAGAGCATTTGTCTAGTTAGAAACTGTGTCACTTGTATCGTTTACCGTGAGGCATCCTTGAGAGGTACATGATTTCCAAACAGCCACCTAAATCATAGGTACTGCTTTTGGAACAGATGTAAATAGGAAAAGCGCCAGTCCAGTACCCCCACTAAAGACCATCGTTAGAAAGCTCTCGCAGTGCTTTCCAGCTTAGAGGAGTGTAGTTCCCTTCAGGTACTTAAGCCAGTGTTCGGTAAAGCAGCACCCAAAATGCCTTTTGTTAAATGTGTTCTAACTCGTTCCTCTTGCTGATGCTATCACAGGCTAATGATTGTCTAAGTCCTTCAGAGAAGCTGTGTGGTTTTGTATAGCTGTGAGTAAAACCACACCCATTCAGGAAATGCAATGTACTTTCTTCTAACAGGCATCATCAAAACAGATGCTGATTTACATGGTAGGTCCCCTTCTTTAGTGACAATTTGAGAGCTTTGAAGGGAGGCATTTGCCGTGCATCAGAAGAAATCAGAATTAAACTGGCACACGTGCACATTGTTGGAGTAAAAAGGAAAAGCAGTGACCTAGAGTTTGTTACCGCACATGCTTTCCCTGAAGGCATCTGCACCATCATGATGTCCTCATCAACTCTGCACACACAACTAGTATTTCTGTCTCTTTCTCTTCAGAGTTTAAGCTCAATGATTTCCAACTTCCTCCCACATGACTCCAGCTGGATATCACATAGGTGTCTTCAATTTGAATCTAAACCTGACTTTGTCATTGTCCTACGTTTATGGGCTCCAGGGTCACTAGCTCACCATTTGTTGATGCTGGACACCTCCTCTTCCTCTGCTTCATCCCTAGCTCATATGCTGGAGTTCTGCCTTTTTTTTTTTTTTGAGACAGAGTCTCTCTCTGTCACCCACGCTGGAGTGCAGTGGCACCATCTCAGCTTACTGCAACCTCTGCTTCCCAGGTTCAAGGGATTCTCCTGCCTCAGCCTCCTGAGTAGCTTGGATTACAGGTGCGCACCACCACACCTGGCTAATTTTTTGTATTTTTGGTAGAGATGGGGTTTCACCATGTTGGTCAGGTTGGTCTCAAACTCCTGACCTCATGATCCGCCTGCCTAAGCCTCCCAAAGTGTTGGGATTACAGGCGTGAGCCACTGCCCCCAGTCTGAGTTTGGCCTCTTTAATATGATAGTTTACCCACTCTTCTCCACTCTCGGGCCCCTGTTCTGTTGCAGACCTTCAGCATCACTTGCCTGGACTGCTGCAGTGGCTTCCAAGAAGCCCCTTGCTTAAAGTCTTTTCTTTCTGTGTTCCATTTATTCTACTCTTTTGAGAATTCTCATATGAAAGAAAGGGTCTGATTGAATTACTCCTACACTTGAAAATCCTTGGTAGTATGTGGAAATATGGAAAAGTACTCATAATCTAATGTGTTAAAAGAAAAACTTTAGACAAATTAAATTTAACAGAGTTTAATTCAGCAAAGAACTATTTGCAAATCAGGCAGCTCCTCTCTACTCCTTTCCTCCCGAACTAGAATAGATTCAGGGCATTTCTGACATGCTGTTGTGTGGTTGGAGAGGATTTATAGACAGAAAAAGGAAAACGACGGACAGAAAACAGAAGTGAGGTACAGAAACAGCCAGATTGGTTTCAGCTCAGCGTTCGCCTTATTTGAACAGGGTTTGAACGATAGGCTGCCTGTGATTCGCCGAAACCCAGAGATTGGTACAAGAATAGGTTACAGCCTGTTTACACATCCAGGTAGGTTACGGTTCACTGCATGCGGAGAAACCTTTAGGCCAAACTTAAAATATGGAAGAAGGCAGCTTTCGGCTAAACCCAACAAATGTTAAGTATAAAATTCATATTTCAAAATTGTGCAAACACATTGATTACAAAGCAGTGACAAAAATCTATGCCTATCCACAAAGGCTAGAAGTAAAGAAAACAAGAATGAAGGTATTTTTAATATTAGGGCAATTCATGTGTGTGTGTGTTTTTTAATACTCCTTTGGTAGCAAATGAATATGGTGAAGTAAAATGAATAATTGAAAGGATTTTGTTAGCTTTCTGCTCCTGATAAGGTAAAATGTGAATTTCACTGCATGGCCTCTAAGGCCCCTAGGAATTCCTTATCAACTTACCATTTAAATCTCATCTCCCGTGACTCCCATCCCTTCCATCTCTCCATATAATATTTGTTTTCTTCTTAAACATACTATGTATATAATAACCATGCACCTGTCCCTGTTGTTTCTTCTCGCATGAGACTCTTGTTCTCTGCCTGGTAAACTCCCACTCATTCGTTGAGGCCTAATTGAAATTCCTGGCCAAGCATGGTGTCTCACATCTGTAATGTCAGCATTTTGAGAGGCTGAGGGAAGAGGATTTCTTGAGCCCAGAAAGTTTAGACTGCACCATTCCACTCCAGCCTGGGCAACAGATAGAGAGCTCGTCTCAAGGAAAAAAAAAAACAAAACAGAAATTATCCTCTTGCTGTGTTACCGCTATTATATTGCAATTTTCTGCTCATATAGCTATCTTGGTAAATGATTCATGAAGACAGAAATTGACTTATCTTAAACCTTGTATTCCAAGTGTTAAGCCCATTCCTGCATATAATACAGTTTAATAAATATTTACAAAGGTAAGAAGAAAGGAAAGAGCCCATTTAGAAATACAGAAATAATCCTTCAGGTAAGATATTAAAAATGTTTTTGGATAAGCTTAGTACTAATTACTATTTCATAAAAATTACAAAAATAGATGTTTTTGGTTAAACAGTTTTTACAGTAATAGTTGGATTCAGCCTCACATCATTTAAACTAAACTACTGGCGTATATCTTTGGCATTAGAAAATTCTAACATCAGATAGAATTGCTTCAGCTTCACTGTAAGCCATATTTATGAAGTTACTAAAAACCATTTTTTTAAACTGTTTTATGTCATGCATAACCATGTCGGCCAAATCAGAAATCCAAATAAATGACACATCCAGTTCTGGCCACATTTTGTGAATATCTGGTATTTTTTTCTTAAGGGAATTTAAAAAGACTGGGTAACATTAAAGGGTTGATGTAACATTTTCAATTCTGAAAGGCTACTCTGCTCTAGGAATATACTTGTTACTATTTTTTTTTTCATTTCTAAGAATTCTGTTTGGCTAAAATACCAAAAGAGAAAAAAATAACTTGGCTTAAATAAAATGAAAAGTCATCTCCAAAATTAATTCGGCTCCTCAAAAGTTCTTTCCAAAGGAAGGAATAGGATGCTATTTAATATTACATGTCAAAAACACCACTAAAAAGAAAATCATCATTTGTACGTGTGACAAGGAATTCAGAATGGAATTTTATGAAGGCTAGTGTGTGAGGCACGCTGCTCACATCTTTTAAAATAATATTTTGATATCGGGGAAGATTATTTAATACTATATATTATTTTATATTATATATGTATGCATATGTGTATATACATATATAAAATAGAGTTTTTTCCTATTAATGCTTTAGAGTCAATAAGTTGTAATGGGGAATTTCAGTTTGAGATTTGTCATTTTTTTTGCATGATAGCCTTGCCCAGCCTTCAGTTTTCTTGTTTATAAAGTCATGCCAAAAGGTGAACTGTCACTGGATTAACTAATTAAGAAATTAGTCAGTCACTAACATTTATTGATTGACCACTGATTGGAAACATTAAATACCCACATCATTTTTTAGCATTTCATGTAAGTTGATCCTTGTCTGTTTTGCAGAGTAAAGAACCTTAGCTGAATTTCATTTTTGTCTGTCCTGATCTTTGCATTCATTTAAAAACCTGACCCTTCAGCTGTTTACAAGATCCATCATGAAATATACCATGGCTAAGGTGAATGTGCAGACTCCCAGTTTCCCTTTAGCTATTCTGTTGCACTAGCCATGGGGTTGCAAACTTTTTTGGTGACTGTTACAGTTCATTCATCAGGAGGTACTGACTATATTTTGTTGCACTTTCATGAGAGCCAGGGCTCAGAAGCATCCTAAGTACCTAGTGACAAAAACTCAGGAAGGCAATTAGACTATGACGCTTTTCATTACAACCTAAGGTGCCTCTCAATATAGTAGGTGCTTATGTTGAACTGCCCTCTGCAGACTGTATGTGTGGGTCCATGTGGTGATATTGTGGCTGTACCCTCTCCAAGGTTGCCTAGTGTTGGCTGTAGCAGGAAAGGAAGTGTCTGTAAGCAATAGTAGCTTCAATGAGGAAGGATATAAAAGAGAAGTGAACTAGTCCTGAAATCTTAAGGATCTACATACAGACCAGAGTACCTTGATGGATCCCAAAGTTTTATTTTATTTTATTTTGTTTTTGAGATGGAGTTTCGTTCTTGTTGCCCAGGCTGGAGTGCAATAGCGCAATTTCGGCTCACTGCAGCCTCCGCCTCCTGGGTTCAAGAGATCTTCTGCCTCAGCCTCCCAAGTAGCTGGGATTACAGGCACCTGCCACTACACCCAGATAATTTTTGTATTTTTAGTAGAGAGGGGGTCTCACCGTATTGGCCAGGATGGCCTCAAACTCCTGACCTCAGATGATCCACCCGTCTCAGCCTCCCAAAGTGCTGGGATTACAGGCGTGAGCCACTGCGCCCGGCCTTATTTTATTTTTCCAGCATTATTGAGTTATGATTGACAAAATTTGTGTACAACACGATGCTTTGATATACATATATATTGTGAAATGTTTATTATCATCAAGTTAGTTAACACTTTCATCACCTCACATAGTTATTTTTTCTTGCATGGTGAGAACATTTAAGATTTACTGTCTCAGCAAATTTCAAGTGTACAAATATCATTATTAACCATAGTCACTGTGCTGTATATTCAATCCCCAGATCTCAAAGATTTAAAATCTAGCCCTGAGACAACTGATTACAGCCACCATATGTTTTCTTAGGTAGTTCACAATAAATAGTTATAATGCTGCTGAGAAACAGTATGATGTGTTGAAAAGTGTAGGTTCTTGAGGCAAACTTCCTGGGTTTGAATACCGAACTTCCACTTAATGGCTGTGTAATGTTGAGCAAGTGACTTAATCTCTTTGGGTCTCAGTTTATCAATCCATGAAATAAGAAAAATAAAACAGGCCAGGCACGGTGGCTCACGCCTGTAATCCCAGCACTTTGGGAGGCCATGGTGGGTGGATCACAAGGTCAGGGGTTAAGACCACCCTGGCCAATATGGTGAAACCCCATCTCTACTAAAAATATAAAAATTAGCCGGGCGTGGTGGCAGGTGCCTGTAGTCCCAGCTACTTGGGCGTCTGAGACAGGAGAATTGCTTGAACCTGGGAGGTGGAGGTTGCAGTGAGCCGAGATGGTGCCACTGCATTCCAGCCTGGGTGACAGAGCGAGACTTCTTCTCAAAAAAAACAAAACAAACAAACAAACAAACAAAAAAACCTAAATGAGTCTTGATGCACGTAAAGCTTTCAAAAAATGGTAGCTGTTATTATCATACCACTTTCATGGAATTTCGTTAGTTACTCAGTTTGTGGTAAAATTTTTCCAGTGTTTATTCTTCATGCCTTCCTACAAACTTGGTTTAGGAATTTACACTGTTAGGGGAAACATGTAGGTGAACCCAGCTAGGGAAGGCGAAGCAATGCTGTGGGAACACAAAGGAGTGGGATATTTAGTCTGATTTGGGAGTGGTGAGGACTTGGAGGAAGCATCAGAGCTGACTTGGAAGAATGGCTAGGATTCCACCTGACAGAGCTGGGAGCAAGGCATTCCACACGGGAGGGCGTGTGCCCAAAGGTGTGGAGAAGGGAGAGTGCAGAGCAGAGCATATTTGAGGAAAGCTGTGGACCAGTTTGAGCCCAGGGTTAAGGTGTGTGAGGTGGAACAGTGGGAGACTGGGAGGAAGATAGTCTGATTTAATGATAATGATGATAACGGTGAGTGTGAACTATTCACTGAGTGGTGCCATATATCAGATTCTGTGGTTGGGGCTTTACATAAATTAGCTCTGATTACAACTCCCTTCAACATAGCTATCCACATTTTACAGATGAGAAAATGGGATTAATTCCATTTTTTCTTAAGTGGCGGAGAGCCACTGAAGGTTGTTGAATAGGAGAGGGTCATGATCACTCTTAGCAGGAATTTACTTATCTGCTTTTTCACTTCCCTGGAGTGGTAGACACGTCTTTTGTTTTGTTTAAGAGACAGAGTCTTGCTCTGTCACCCAGGCTGAGTACAGTGGTATCATCATAGCTCACTGCATCCTTGACCTCCTGAGCCCAGGTGATCCTCCCACCCCAACTTCCCAGAGCTCTGGAATTAGAGGCATGTGCCACCACACCTGGCTCATTTTTAATTTTTTTTTTGTAGAGATGGATTCTTGCTATGTTACCCAGGCTGTTCTGGAGCCCTGTGTTCCAGCAATTCTCCTGCTTTGGCCTCTCAGAGTGCTGGGATTATGGGCATGTGCCACCACACATAGCCTTGGAGATACATCTTGCACCATCCTGGGCTCCCCAGAGGAGTGGTATTAGACTGTCAGTATGGTGAATACTCCATAAATACTGGTGGAGTCTGTTTTCAAAGCTTCCTTAACAAAACTCTGGAAACATGTTTTGTACAATTTCCTTTTTAAAGAAGAAATAAACTGGTTAAGTTACTGAGCAACTCCTTTTTGCCTGTGCATGTTTCATCTCATTTGATCCCCATAGGAAATCTTAAAGGTAGAGAGTGTAATTTTTGCATTTCAATTATATGTTATTAATATTATAATGGATGAGGTCACTGGGACTGAAGAAAGTAATGCTGCTTGGAGATGGTAAAGCTGGGATTCAATCTGTGGCTCCCTCACCCTTGGTCTGTAGTCGGCCACCACCCCTCCCTCTATTGAACCTCTCTTTTATTGCTGTTTTCCAGTCTCCACTAAGTATTTCTTCCACTGGTTTAAGTCCACGTTGCTAAGCAAGTACACAGTTGCTTTTAAGGAAACGAAAGCCCCACAAGGACCCAGTCTACTTTGCAGAGGTTAAATGGAAATAGATTATTTTCAATAATCTGTCCTCAGGACCAGAATTCTTCTAAATGATGCTGCTGGCAGCTGGCCATCTCTGGGAGCCCATCAGACAAACCACTTGTAGGAGCCCAGCATCCTGCATTGGGTCAGAATGCAAAGTCAACTAACTCTTCACAGTAGATGCAGTTTGGGCGTGAGTACCTAGCAGGAACCCTAGATATTTGGGGCAAGCACTTTGCTTCTTCCATCTGGTGGAACCCACGTTTATTATCTAAAAGACACATGGCAACAGGCAATGCAGTGTTTGCTTCCAAAGACAGCCTGGAATTTGGAATGACATTTAGTGAAAGGGGAAAGTTCAATTTCAGCTATCAAAGGTCATGGCCAGTGAACCTACAAGCACATATTATGTAAATTTGGCCCAAATCTGTATTTATTAGCTTGAACAGTTTTGGAGTGGTTATCTGCTCTACAAAAATGATCTACCGTTAAGAGTCTCAAAAATATCAAGTCTGCTTGATGCATTTAAATCAGGAAGCGTAAATATTTGGCATCCATGCTAGTGCTGATTTTCAGAGGCTTTGCTCACCTGCAGCTGTGCTCACTTTGCGAAAATGGACATGGTGACCTCTACTTTCCTGGTGAGTGGCCACGTCAGTATCATCCCTTCCCGTTCCTGGCACCACTCTCACCCACTTTGGAGAGCCAGCATAGAGCAGCACGCTGTGTCTCAGGGACCAGGCTATCCATCAGATACCCTACTCTGAAAGTGTCCTTAATTTGATTTTTAAAATATATATAAATATATAGTGTGTGTGTATACACACACACACACACACACACACCATAAAATTTACCATAAATTTACCATTTTAACCTTTTTTTTTTTTTTTTTGAAACGGAGTCTTGCTCTGTCGCCAGGCTGGAGTGCAGTGGCATGATCTCAGCTCACTGCAGCCTCCGCCTCCTGGGTTCAAGCAATTCTCCTGCCTCGGCCTCCCGAGTAGCTGGGACTACAGGCGCATGCCGCCACGCCCAGGGAATTTTTGTATTTTTAGTAGAGATGGGGTTTCACCATGTTGGCCAGGATGGTCTCGATCTCTTGACCTCGTGATCTGCCCGCCTCAGCCTCCCAAAGTGCTGGGGCGTGAGCCACCACACCTGGCCCAGTTTAACCATTTTTAAGTGTACAATTCAGTGGCATTATGTACATTTCCAGTGTAGTGCAATCATCTCCACTATCCATTTCCAGAACTTTTTCATCATCCCGAACAGAAGCTCTGCATTCATTAGACAATAACACTCCATTCTCTCCTCCCAGCCCCTGGTAACCTCTATTGTACACTGTGTCTCTATGAAGTTTCTTATTTTAGGGACCACATGGAATCATACAATATTTGTCCTTTTATGTCTGGCCCATAATTTAATTTTTAATAACAGTGTTTCAAATATACTGTTCTTTTCCAAAGTATTTGTTATCAATACTTTATTATGTCAGTAATTATCAATAAGTTCTCATTCTAATTTCAGAAACTGGGTTGTATTGGAATATGGGCATAGAGAAGATACAGATTTTTTTTTCTTCTTAATAACTGAAGAGAATAACATTTATCAAACAAACGATCGAACTCTTTCTGAGACATAGTTTCATGTGCCTCTTTGGAGTTGATTTCCCCTCACTTTATTTTAACTCCTATTTGGCCCGAATTCTTCTCAGAATTTCTGCAAGCAGGCTCATAGTCCTGCGTTCTTCTCTTCTCTTTTTTTTTTTTTTTTTTTTTGGCAGGGTCTCACTCTTGTCTCCCAGGCTGGAGTGCAGTGGTGCAATCTCAGCTCACTGCAGCCTCGACCTCCGGGCCTCAAGTGATCTTCCTGCCTCAGCCTCCCAAGTAGCTGAGATTACATGTGTGCACGACAACACCTGGCTAATTTTTGTATTTTTTGTAGAGACGAGGTTTCATCATGTTGCCCAGGCTTGTCTTAAACTCCTGGGCTCAAGCAGTCTACCCGTCTTGGCCTCTCAAAGTGCTGGAATTACAGGCGTGAGCCACCGCAGCTGGCCAGGCTTACATTTCTGTAGTGCCTGTTAGGAAGAGTTCAGAATTTTTTAGACACAGGCATAGCTCAGAGATATTGTGTCTTTTTTTTTTTTTTTTGAGTTGGGAGTCTTGCTTTGTTGCCAGGCTGGAGTGCAGTGGCACGATCTCTGCTCACTGCAAGCTCCGCCTCCTGGGTTCAAGCCTCCCAAGTAGCTGGGACTATAGGTGCCTGCCACCATGCCCAGCTAATTTTTGTATTTTTAGTAGAGATGGGGTTTCACCATATTGGTGAGGCTGGTCTCGAACTCCTGACCCCAGGTGATCCACCCACCTCAGCCTCCCAAAGTGCTGGGATTACAGGCATGAGCCACTGTGCCTGGACACTCAGAGATATTTTGGGTTCACTTATAGACCACAGCAGTAAAGCAAGTATTGCAATACAGCAAATCACACAAATTTTTTGGTTTTCCAGTGCATATAAGTTATGTTTACACCATACTATAGTCTATTAATTATCCAATAACATTTTGTCTAAACAAAAGTACATACCTTAATTTTAAAATGCTTTATTGCTAAAAACTGTTAACGATCATCTTCATTGAACCATAATCGTTTTGTTGGTAAAGGGTCTTTACGTTGATGGCTGCTGACTGATTTAGGGAGGTGGTTGCTGAAAGCTGGGGTGGCGGTGGCAATTTCTTAAAATTAGACAACAATGACGTTTGCCACATTTATTGACTCTTCCTTTCATGAAAGATTTCTCTGTAGTATGCACCATTGTTTGAGAGCATTTTACCCATAGTAGAACTTTCAAAGTTAGAGTCAGTCCTCTCAAACCTGTCACTGCATCAATTAAGTTTATGTAATATTTCAAATCCTTTGTTGTCATTTTAACAGTGTTCACAGTATCTTCATCAGGAGTAGATTACATCTCATGAAACCACTGGTTTTTTTGTTTGTTTGTTTGTTTGTTTTGAGACGGAGTCTCGTTCTGTCACCCAGGCTGGAGTGCAGTGGCGCGATCTCGGCTCACTGCAACCTCCACCTCCCAGGTTCAAACAATTCTCCTGCCTCAGCCTCCTGAGTAGCTGGGACTACAGGTGCGCACCACCACGCTGGGCTAATTTTTTGTATTTTTAGTAGAGATGGGTTTCACAATGTTAGCTGTGTTAGCCAGGATGGCCTCTATCTCCGGACCTTGTGATTCCCCTGCCTCGGCCTCCCAAAGTGCTGAGATTACAAGCGTGAGCCACTGTGCCCGGCCATGAAACCACTTTCTTTGCTCCTCCATAGAGGCAACTCCTCATCTGCTGAAGTTTGATCATGAGATTGCAGCAATCAATTCAGTCACATTTTCAGGCTCCATTTCTAATTCTGGTTCTCTTGCTGTTTCCACCTCATCTGCAGTTCCTTCCTCCACCGAAGTCTTGAAACCCTCAAGTCATCCATGGGGGTTGGAATCAACTTCTTCCAAACTGATGTTCATGTTGATATTTTGACCTCTTCCCATGAATCAAATGTTCTTAATGACATCTACAATGGTGAATCCTTTCCAGGAGGTTTTCAATTTACTTTTCCCAGATCCATCAGAGGAATTACTTTCTGTGGCAATGATAGCCTTACAGAATGTATTTCTTAAATAAGAAGACTTGAAAATAAAAATTACTCCTTGATCCATGGGTTGCAGAATGGGTGTTGTGTTAGCAGGCGTGAAAACGACATGAATCTCCTTGTATATTTCCATCAGAGCTCTTAGATGAGTGACGAAGTGCATTGTCAATAAGCAGTAATATTTTGAAAGGAATCTTTTTCTGAGCAATTAAGTCTCAACAGTGGGCTTAAAGTATTTAGTAACCCAATGTGCTTTCATCCAGGCTTTGTTGTTCCATTTCTATAGCACTGGCAGAGTAGATTCAGCATAATTATTAGGGCTCTAGGATTTTTGGAATGGTAAATGAGCATTGGCTTCAACTAAAGTCACTAGCTGCATTTGCCCGTAACAAGAGAGTCAGCCTCTCCTTTGAAGCTTTGTAGTCAAGCATTGACTTCTCCTCTCTAGCTATGAAAGTCTTAAATGGCATTTTCTTCCAATAGAAGGCTGCTTTGCCTACGTTGAAAAATCTGTAGTCACCTTCATCAATGATCTTAGTTAAATTTTCTGGATAACCTGCTGCAGCTTCTACATCAGCATTTGGAGAAGATTTCTTTCCTTAAATCTCACGAACCAACTTCTGCTAGCTTCAAACTTTTCTTCTCCAAGTTCCTCACCTCTCTCAGCCTTCATAGAAGTGAAGAGAGTTAGGGCCTTGATCTGGATTAGGCTTTGGCTTAAGGGAATGTATGGCTGGTTTGCTTTTCTATTCAGACCACTCTAACTTTGTCCATATCAGCAACAAGGCTGTTTCACTTTCTTACCATTGATGAGTTCACTGGAGTAGCACTTTTAATTTTCTTCAAGAACTTTTCCTTAGCATTCACAGCTTGGCTAACCCTTCAGTCACAAGAAGCCTGGCTTTTGACATATGTCAGCTTTCAACATGCCTTCCTCGCTAAGCTTAATCATTTCTAGTTTTCTTATTTAAATTGAGAGGTATGTGACTCACTCTTCCTTTCACTTGAATGCTTAGCGGCTATTTTAGGGTTATTAATTGGCCTAATTTCAATATTCTTTTTTTTTTTTCTTTTTTGAGACAGAGTCTCGCTCTGTCACCCAGGCTTGAGTGCAGTGGCACGATCTCTGCTTACTGCAAGCTCCGCCTCCCGGGTTCACGCCATTCTCCTGCCTCAGCCTCCCGAATAGCTGAGACTACAGGCACCCGCCACTACGTCCGGCTAACTTTTTGTATTTTTAGTAGAGATTGAGTTTCACCATGTTAGCCAGGATGGTCTTGATCTCCTGAACTCGTGATCTGCCCACCTTGGCCTCCCAAAGTGCTGGGATTACAGGCGTGAGCCCCCGTGCCTGGCCAACTTCAATATTCTTGTGTCTGAGGAAACAAGGAGGCCCGAGAGGAGGGAGAGAGAACAGCCAGTCTTTGTAGCAGTCAGAACACACATGACATTTACTGATTAAGTTCATTACCTTATATGGGGTGTGTGGTTCATGGTGAACAAAACAATTATAATAGTAACGTCAAAGAGCACTGATCTCAGATCACCATAACAGATATAACAGCGCAAAAGTTTGAAATACTGTATTACCGAAATGTGGCAGAGGCTCAACATGAGCACATGCTGTTGGAGAGGTGATGCTGGTGGAGTTGCTTGACACGGGGTTGCCACAGAACTTCAATTTGAAAAAAAAATGCAGTATCTGCAAAGGACAACAAAGTGAAATGCAATAAAATGAGATGCGCCTGTTGCATCTTTCAACTGATGTGTCCTTTCTTTTCATTAAAAAAAAATAACGTTCTGTCCATCTGCCTCTGTCCAACAACAGGCAGTCACATGTGATGCCTACTGTTGGAGAATTGGTGAATCATAGGCCTCCACTTCTGGTGCTATTACTCAGAGAAGAAGTATTTCTTTCTGCATAGAAGGAAACATTGTAATTTTACTGCAGCAATGAAATTGTAGTAGAGGTGAACATAATTCTTCTATTTACATCTTTAATGAGCCACAATTAAAAGTAGTGAGTTGGCATGTCAGAGTGAATGTGTTATTTTCAGATTTCTGTTAGAACAATGGCTGCTGCTGGTTGAAGCTGCACTTCCCTGGCCCCTTGGAGCTCCAAAAGCCTTAAGAAAGAAACCCAGGGGCCGGGCGCAATGGCTCAGGCCTGTAATCCCAGCACCTTGGGAAGCTGAGGCAGGCGAATCACCTGAGGTTGGGAGTTCAAGAACCAGCCTGACCAACATGGAGAAACCCCATCTCTACTAAAAATACAAAATTAGCCGGGTGTGGTGGGGCATGCCTGTAATCCCAGCTACTTAGGCGGCTGAGGCAGGAGAATCGCTTGAACCTAGGAGGTGGAGGTTGCGGTGAGCCTGTGTCTGGAGTTGGTTCCTTCCGATAGGTTTGTGGTCTTGCTGACTTCAAGAATGGAGCCACGGACCTTCACAGTGAGTGTTACAGCTCTTAAAGATGGTAGGGACCCAAAGAGCGAGCAGTAGCAAGATTTATTGTGAGGAGCGAAAGAACAAACCTTCCACAGCGTGGAAGGGGACCCGAGCGGGTTGTCTCTGCTGGCTGGCGTGGCCAGCTTTTATTCCCTTATTTGTCCCTGCCCATGTCCTGCTGATTGGTCCATTCTACAGAGCACTGATTGGTCCATTTTACAGAGTGCTGATTGGTCCATTTTACAAACCTCAAGCTAGCTACAGAGCGCTGATTGGTGTGTTTTTACAGAGCACTCATTGGTGCATTTTACAATCCCCTTGTAAGACAGAAAAGTTCTCCAAGTCCCCACTCGACCCAAGAAGTCCAGCTGGCTTCACCTCTCAATACCACTTCTGCATTTAATTATAGCCACCGACTAGCTGCACTATGATATTAATCTGGGCTACTTGCTTAGGAACCTGCAGATGGGTTTCCATAAGCTAGACATTGCTGCCTGATAAATGACTGTGGGATACAGGTTTTCCTGATGAGGTAGTAAAGCCACATATTGGAATTCATTTAACAGCTCGACAACATAATTTGTAAACATTTCTATTTAGTCACGTGTACTCAGCAAAAATGTATACTAAAGTGTTTACCATATACTTGGCATTGAAGGGAATTATAATGAAATATGTTGATCTTGGTCATTTATAGGTGTTCCCACCACTGTGATGTGTGCATGCATTGTGGGCCAGGAGGTTTTATCTGGAAGCTAGTGACACTTCAGCGTCAAGGCGTCTCGCTCCTGCAGGCCCTTTGTAAGACCCTGTACCTAATTTTATGTTGATAATTTTGTGCAGTTTTTTTTTTTTTTTTTTTTTTTGAGGCAGCGTCTAGCTCTGTCATCCAGGCTGGATTGCAGTGTTGTGATCTTGGCTCACTGCAGCCTCAACCTCCCAGGCTCAAGTGATCCTCCCACCTGAGCCTTCTGAGTAGCTGTGAGCAGATACATATGCCACCATGCTCAGCTAATTTTTGTATTTTTTTGTAGAGATGGGGGTCTCACTATGTTGCCCAGTTTTGTCTTGAACTCCTGGGCTCAAGCGATCCTCCACTTCAGCCTCCCAAAGTTCTGGGATTACAGGCGTGAGTGACCATGGCTGGCCTTTGAGATCTTTTCTTAAAGACCCTAACACCCCATACACACTCCTCTACCCCTTGACTAGTTTTATAAACTGCAGACCTCACAGACTGGATCCACCCCTGATTATGAATATGTTTAAACTGTGCATATGTATGCATTAATTAAAACATATTTATTTCTCTTTCATACTAGTATGTGAAATTCCAAAAAATCTGCTAGCCCACAAATTAGGAAAATTAAAGGGCTATGCCTACCTCTGCCAGCTGTTTCCAAGGAAATTTATATCTTGGACATTTGGCAGATAATAATATCATGTTTGACTGATAGTGATCATGTCCTAAATTTCCCAAACTGATGAGTCACAATCGTGATTCACATATTTCTGGGAATCGCCCCCCAACAACTTGCGATTTGCCTGGCGTAGCTGTAGTATATCAGAGTTTTTTAGGTGTTTAGCAGAACTGAACTATATAGCTTCTTGTCCCATGCCAATTCAAGAAAATTAATTTAATAGCTATTTTATGAAACATTTTTTCCTAACTCGACATGGATATTTTAAGGTGATTTTCCCTGCTAAGAATTCACTTGTTATAGGTGACTCTAATTGGAGAAACAGCTGTTGACTTCTAGTGTGCTCAATTAGTTTCTTTCTTCCTTTTTCTTTTTTTATTTTATTTTATTTATTTTTTATTATACTTTAAGTTCTAGGGTACATGTGCACAATGTGCAGGTTTGTTACATATGTATACATGTATCATGTTGGTGTGCTGCACCCATTAACTCATCATTTACATTAGGTATATCTCCTAAAGCTTTCCCTCCCCCCTCCCCCCACTCCATGACAGGCCCCGGTGTGCGATGTTCCCCTTCCTGTGACCAAGTGTTCTCATTGTTCAATTCCCACCTATGAGTGAGAACATGCGGTGTTTGGTTTTTTGTCCTTGCGATAATTTGCTGAGAATGATGGTTTCCAGCTTCATCCATGTCCCAACAAAGGACATGAACTCATCCTTTTTTATGGCTACATAGTATTCCATGGTGTATATGTGCCACATTTTCTTAATCCAGTCTATCATTGATGGACATTTGGGTTGGTTCCAAGTCTTTGCTATTGTGAATAGTGCCGCAATAAACATACGTGCGCATGTGCCTTTATAGCAGCATGATTTATAATCCTTTGGGTATATCCCCAGTAATGGGATGGCTGGGTCAAATGGTATTTCTAGTTCTAGATCCTTGAGGAATCGCCACACTGTCTTCCACAATGGTTGAACTAGTTTGCAGGCCCACCAACAGTGTAAAAGTGTTCCTATTTCTCCACTTTCTTCCTTTTTCAAAGAGTTCCTTTATTATTCCCAGGCCGTCGTTAGGTGTAAAAGCTAATTTAGTTTAGATTATTTTTTAAAGTGCACCTGGCATTCAAGCTATGACATTTCCTGTTGAAACAGCACTGCTATGACCTGGGAAGAAAAGATCCCAAGAAAATATAACTGAGGAATCAAATATTTGTCTGTATAAAAGGTTTCATATTAATTCATGATACCATTTATTAGTCACTTACCTTTTATGTTAGTAGCCATAAGGAGGTGTGATGGCATAGACTATTCAGGGCGAATGACAGTTGTCATGGGCAGAAGGTGCCCATGCATCAGGCAGAGCAGGGTGACCACAAAGTGGGGAGTGGCCAAATATACTTTGTCCTACTCAAGACATGAGGGCCTGTCCCAGTGGCTTGCTTGAGAACAAAGCTCATCCTGATGACTCAGCAGCCACAGTGAAGGGCTGCCTGGGGGCTGGGGGAGAAACAAGTAGGCAGATGAGGTCCAGTTGGAAACTAAATTGCTTTGGGAGGAGGAGAGTGGTCACACAATGTAGGTTTCAGTTCCGGCTGCACTGCTAATTTTGTAACCTTGGGAAAGTTACCAACCTCTCTGGAATCTCAGTTTCCTCCCCTATGAAGAAGAAAGCAGTAGCCCAGATCATCCTTGGAGGTTCCTTCCCTTCAGCTGTGACATTTTGCATTTGAAAGAGTAAGAGAAGTCACAGGACCATGGGAAAGGAAAACAGAAATGATGTAAGGGAGGCAGGTCATGGGGAGGGTGGTCAGGAACACAGGTTGGAAGTGCCCGTGGTGTCAATTCAGGTGTTCGGTGATCTCCACGGGCGAGTGACTTTTATTGGGAGAACTGTGCACTGCCTGAGGTTAGGGTTGTGCTCTGGGGAAACCGGAACCTTGAAAACACCTTGTAGGGAGCCGCGTTTCCCTTGCACGGACTGTGCTGCCTGTGCTTCCCCAGCACAGTGGGCGTCGTCGCTTTGTGTTTGTGCTGGCTGCTGTGCGGGGTTGCCTGCCTCCCCAGCCCACACCTGCTCAGCCTTCCTCCACTCATGTTTTCAGGATGCTTTTGGATGCTTCTGGCTACAGTGGATTTTCCTTCTCCTTCTGAAGCCCTTTTGAAATTATTTCTCTGCAGATTCAGACATATTTATTTATCTGGTCAATGTCCTGCCTAAAGAATCAGATAACGACTGTGTTTTTGCCTGAACTCACACATATGAATGAGCTTTTGTAAGCGGCAGCAGCAGTGTAGGTTTAGTTGGAGCTGTCTGAGCCCTTGTCAGGTTGCTACTTAGTTGTTTAGTTAGCTCTCGTTGAACTTCTGTCACATCCTCAGTTTCTGGGCAGTGTGTAAGAAGAGCTCCTTCTCTCTAGACCAGTGGTCCCTAACCTTTTTGGCACCAGGGACTGGTTTCATGGAAGACAGTTTTTCCACAGACTAGGGTGGAGCGGGGGATGGTTTTGGGATGATTCAAATGCATTTATATTCATTGTGCACTTTATTTATATTATTATGTTGTAATATATAATGAAATAATTATGCAACTCACCATAATGTAGAATCAGTGAGATCCTTGAGCTTGTTTTCCTGCAACAAAACGGTCCCATCTAGGGGTGATGGGAGACAGTGACAGATCATCAGGCATTAGATTCTCATAAAGAGGGTGCAACCTACATCCCTCACATGTGCAGTTCACAATAGGGTTCACGCTCCTATGAGAATCTCATGCCGTTGCTGACCTGACAGGAGGCAGAGCTCAGGTGGTAATTTGAACAATGGGGAGTGGCTGTAAATACAGATGAAGCTTTGCTCATTCGCCTACTGCTCACCTCCTGTTGTGCAGGAGGTCTGTAGCCCAGGGGTTGGGAACCCCTGCTCTAGAGCTTAATAATCAACTGGTGGAGACCAGTGCAATTGTAAACAAAAGTGACAAAACGATAGTAATAATGCCAATGGTAATGAAAGCTACAGACATTTTCAGAGTGCTGTGTCTCCAAGTACTGAGCTGAGCACTCTGCACTCATGAAATATGTATCCTCCTCACACACACACACGCAAAATAAATGTTTAATGGAATATTGATCAGGAAAAAAACAACCAGTAAGCAAAGTATTAATACATGCTACAACATAGATGAACCTCAAAACATCATGTGAATTGAGAGACCACATACTTCAATTTCATTTATATGAAAGGTCCAGAATAGACAAATCCATAGAGACAGAAGTTAGTTTGGGGGTTGCAGAGGCCGGAGGTGGGAGAGGAATGCAGAGTGACTGCTAATGTACACAGGGTTTCTTTTTTGGAGAAGAAAATCTAAAATTAGATTGTGATGTTGGTTTTACAAAACAGTGACTATACTAAAAAACATTTGAGTTATACACTTGAGTTATATGTAAATTAAATCTTAATAAAGCTGTTTTTTTAAAAATAAATGTTTAATTCTCAGAAACAACCCTATGAGGTAGGGAGTATTATCCTCCTACAGATGAGAAAACCGAGGCCCAGAAAAGAGGAGAACCTGCTCAAGATTACATATAAGGCATATGTAGGATTAACTTTTTCATTACAGAGAAATCCATGGTAGTGCTTGCTAAGTAAATGCTAAATCTATTGATTGCATGGATGCCAGAACTAGATGGGGTTAGTTTAGATGGATTAAGGGAGGAAGTGGTTTAAACTGTGTTTTCTAAGAAGAAAGAGTAGTGATTGTATAAAGAAGACAAAAGGGCATTTCAAGCTGGAGATAATTGCTTGTGAGAGTTAAACATCAAGAAACCAGACATCTAATAGGTTTGTTCAACTGGAGTGAAGAATAGCCTTTCATATGACAGGTAGGTAATCAGAAGCAAGTGAATTTAGAGTTATATTGTTAGCTGTAGTGCGGGCTTGCTGTAATTAGTAGCAGGCCGACACCTTGTAACATCTCTCTGGAGTGTAAAGACATATTTCTAACAGAAATGTGTTAGTCTGCAAAGCAAATAAGGTGCAAGCGTAAATGTCCTTTTTCCTTGGACTGTCTTTACCGAATGACATGAGCTTCACACCCTTGCCTTGAGCTGTCACTATCATTGCTTCACTTTCTATTAATTAGCTCGGAGCCTTGGTTCTATAGTCAACTTGAAACTGCTCTGGACATATTTGCTCTAATCCTCCTGGACAACCTGTGAGATGTGCCTTTTCCTACACTTCTGCCTTGCCCTGGCAGCCACATGACACACTCTCGCAAGGCAGGAACCTCAGGGAGGGGAGGTGGCGGTGTCTGTTGGCAAGTACTCAGCTCCCTTTGAGGCTGCAGATAGTAGGCATTGGTTAAGAGTTTAAACTTGGGCAAGAACTGGAAGCAAATTGGGAGGACCTGGAATTGTGGGTGCTTGGGGAAAAACATTACAATGAGGACTCATATGGGTCGTGTGGTCATGTTTGTTTCAAGGGCTTTCCCTTCCAAAACTGGAAAAGAAAACTGATAAAACAAACATTGGGTGGCATTTTTTTCTAGGCTTGTCAATGGGTGACTTGTTTGCCGAATTAATTAAATAATTAATTAATTACCTTGTTTATAATCTTCCTTGTTTTGAAAAGATTTATGGCAGTGCCTTAAATCTGTAAATCTACCCAACAAGAGAATCTTATGAAGTAAACAAGTTAACAGGTGAAACATGCCTCCTTTTAAATGTTTCTTTATAACAAAATGACCATATATCAATAACAGACTGTAACAATGCGTAGCAAATGTATTTATGTTTCTCATCTATTTTCCACTTTCAAAAATGTGCTTTTCCCTTAAACTCCAAATTGTCTTAACAATTTCACATTTTCATTTCTTTCTTTTCTTTTTTTTTTTTTTGAGGCGGAGTTTTGCTCTTGTTGCCCAGGCTAGAGAGCAATGACGTGATCTTGGCTCACTGCAACCTCCACCTCCCAGGTTCAAGCGATTCTCCTGTCTCAGCCTCCCAAGTAGCTGGGATTACAGGCGCATGCCACCACACCCGGCTAATTTTTTTGTGTTATTAGTAGCGACGAGGTCTCGAACTCCAGACCTCAGGTGATCCATTCACCTCTGCCTCCTAAAGTGCTGGGACTACAGATGTGAGCCTGGCCCAATTTCACATTTTCTAGGTTCTGTAGAGGTTCATGTTTGTGGCATGGTAATTCTTGTTTTTTGCATTTTTTTTTTCTTAACCCCCCTCCTGGCTTTTGGAGCACTATAAACTTAGCACTGGTGGGGCCACATCTTGACAGCGAGACCCTTACAGCCCCCAACCCCGCATCCCAGTGGGGCTTCATGATCTGGCCCTGCTGTGCTGGTGGCATGGCCCCCTCGGGGCTTAAGTGATTCTGGGTCATTGACAAGAATCTTGCCTGTGTGAATTCAAATCAAAACTTTGGAGAGCAAAGATTCAGTGTTTTCCTTCTGCCTAACAATCTCATGGAAAGCACAGTGGTACCTAGCATTTAGCTCATGTGTTCATTTAGCAGGCTCTAAGTCATCTTGTCACATGTCATCCTCATGTCAGCTCTGTGTGGTGTTGTCGACCCACGAGCAAACGTTGCAAGGTCCCCTTTAGGGTGACAAGGCTGATTCAGGATGTGTCTCACTGCCCCAGGAAGGATGCCTCTAACATGCGGAACATGGTGCCAGTGGCTGAGGGGATTAGTTGGGGAAGAAGAGTGAATAGGGAAAGGAGGTTGTTACATGATCCACCCCTCACTGGCCAGAGAGGAAAAGGAAGGCATCTCATTAAGAGCATTAGCTGTAGCCTCTCATTTAAACCTCCTCACTACCCCATGAAGTAAGCATTATTGCTTTTGTTTTACAGGTGGTGTGAGACAAAAGTGAAGGAATGAGACTAATTAATAATAAGAATCCATGCCCCACCATAGCTACGATGCAGTGGAGCATGGATTCTAAACCAGCTCTAACATCACATGCCCTATTTTCGAGCACTAGTGGCTTATTTCTGAGCTCTTCTCTTCCTCTTTCCTGTTGATGCTTGAGTTTTAGTTATATCATGGCAAATTGAAAAATTCTTCAAAAAACATACAGAGGAAATAAAGTGGTGGGATCTGAAACAAAACTCTTATTGATTAGCCATTCTAATGAAGATTTGTGGCTGAGATGGGAGTTTTGCAATCACCTTGGGATTTCAGAACCCTGCTTTTAATAATTAGAACTAAAGAAGGGAGAGTCCTATAGAAGTGTGGGTCATAAAACCAAGGATGTGAATGAGGAGTGGCAAGACAGGTATCCTGGAGACTTTATTTCAGTGAGACTTCTGGGGCAGAGTTGGGACTGATGGGGGACAAGTCAGCTTTGGAATGATACAGAATTTTTGGCTGTGACACCTGTGTGATTTTAGTGCTTTGCACCATATCAAGAGCTGAGCAGAGTGTGGCACCAATATTCAAGGGACTCAAGGGGCAAATATAGGTGTCAGTGAGTGAAAGCAGATAGCGAGATTTGCAATGCAGTGTCCAGGAGTGTCCATCTTTCTAGACCCATTTCTACTTATAAGATCACTGCATACCCTGTGAAACATTATATTCATGAAGCCACAGAGTTTGAGCCACTGTGTTTACGCTGCAAGTGGAAGGAGAGTGGGCATGGAGTCAGAAAGACTCAAGTTCAAATCCAGCCTCCATAATTTATCGTCTTTAAGACCCTGGGAAAGTTGACCTAAGCCTCTGTTTTCTCAGCTTTAAAACATGAATAATAATCCTGCCTCACAGGACTGCTGCACATACGGCAGTCAGCGCAGTGCCAGGCACACACGAGTGTCTTATTAGTTATTATTATTATCAACAAAGAGCATAGGTGATCCTTCTTATCATGATTATAAAAACTGTGGCTTACCAATGAAAGGGTCCTTCATAAGCCAACAAAGAGACATCCCTGAAATTTTCACTATAGCAGAAATGCAAATTATTACTGGGTACATTTCTGGCAGACACATGAGCCATTTACATAATGAAACCTCTCTAATATTATTTCTATTAATAGCAATACTTCTGAGTATCAATCTGACCATTTTGTATTTAGAATCATTCTCTCTGTGAACAGATTCCTTTTATTGCCATGTCGTCTTAATATCTTCTGACAAGTATCATTATCTCTTTGCTGCATATTCTAATGTTTATGATTGCATGAGTTTTAAAGTGTTCATTTACTACCTGAGAACCTCCATTTTAATAATGCATTGCTTTAATGTTGGTGTTTGGGAGGTAAGGTTGTTGCTTATTTTCTCAGATGCCGATTCACAGTTGAGCAGATGATGACTTGCAGGAGGCTCTCTTGACCTGTCATGCTCTGATATCATCAATGCATTGGAGTGGTCACTTCTGTTAGCTTTTCCTCCATGAATCCCCTGTTGATCAGCCCACTAAGTGACTCAGCATATGTCTGTGCACACCTTTGGACCACATTATCATCCACTCACTTAGGCCCTTGAATTTTTTTATGGGTATGTGGGCTATATTGCTAAGTGATAAGGCTGGTTCTGTAAATGGACCTCGCAACTTCAGCATAACAACGGTATGGCTAGTGTCCTCCTCTAGGAGGGACTCCCCTTGAGGGCAGATACAGGTTTTTCCTGTTTGCCTCAAGAGAGTCATACAATGCAGAAGTGCCCAAGTGAATGTTGGGTGAATCAGTGAGTGTAAGAGGGCACCCAAGGGAATGCCCACAGTTGGAAGGAAGTTGCCTGAGAGGAGGAGTCCTCAGACCCATTCTAGCTTTGTGATTCTGCCCGTACAGACATGATTTATATGACAGGAAAAACATGGCAGGCCCTTGGGAAGCATTTTCATCTTAACCTTTATAATATCTAATAAATGGGCAAGATGTTAAAAAAAATTGCCCTTTCCAGAAGAAGGTTATACAGACTCTAAGAAGGCAACATTAAGAAATTTTTGAATTTTTTTTTTTTTGAGATGGAGTTTTGCTTTTGTTGCCCAGGCTGGAGTGCAGTGGTGTGATCTCGGCTCACTGCAACCTCTGCCTCCTGGGTTCAAGCGATTCTCCTGCCTCAGCCTCCCAAGTAGCTGGGATTACAGGCGCACACCACCACGTCCAGCTAGTTTTTTGTATTTTTAGTAGAGACAGGGTTTCATCATGTTGGCCAGGATGGTCTCGAACTCCTGACCTCAGGGGATCCACCCACTTCAGCCTCCCAAAGTGCAGGGATTACAGGCATGAGCCACCTTGCCTGGCCGAAATATATATATTTTTAAAAAGGTTATTTTCATCCCAGCACTTTGAAAGGCCAAGGTGGGCAGATCACAAAGTCAGGAGTTAGAGACCAGCCTTGCAAACATGGTGAAACCCCATCTCTACTAAAAAATACAAAAACAATTAGCTGGGCTGGTGGCGAGTGCCTGTAATCCCAGCTACGCGGGAGGCTGAGGCAGGAGAATTGCTTGAACCTGGGAGGCGAAGGTTGCAGTGAGCCGAGATTGCACCACTATGCTCCAGCCTGGGTGACAGAGCATGACTCTGCCTCAGGGGGAGGCGGGGAGAAGGTTACTTTCAACCCCATGAAAAAGTGAGCAAAGGACATGAACAGACACTTTTCAAAAGAAGACATATGGCCAATAAGAATATGAAAAGCAGCTCAATATCGCTGGTCATTAGAGCAACGCAAATCAAAAGCACAATGAGATACTATCTCATACCAGTCAGAATGGCTGTTGTTAAAAAGTCAAAAAATAACCAGTTGGATGCTGATGAGGTTGCGGAGAAAGGGAACACTTATACACTGTTGGTGAGTGTACAAATTAGTTCAGCCATTGTGGAAGGCAGTGTGGCAATTCTGCAAAGAGCTAAAAGCAGAACTACCATTCGACCCAGCAATCCCATTACTGGGTATCTACCCAGAGGAATATAAATCATTCTACCATAAATTTAGACACATGCACGCAAATGTTCATTGCAGCACTATTCACAGTAGCAAAGACACAGAATCAACCTAAATGCCCATCAATGACAGATTGGACAAAAAAAATGTGGTACATATTACCATGGAATACTATGCAGCCATAAAAAAGGAATGAGATCATGTCTTTTGCAGGAGTATGGAAGGAGCTGGAGGCCATTATCCTTAGCAAACTATCACAGGAACAAAAAACTAAATACTGCATGTTCTCACTTACAAGTGGGAGCTAAATGATGAGAACTCATGGACACAAAGAAGGGAACAGCAGACACTGGGTCCTACTTGAGGGTAGAGGGTGGAGGAGGAAGAGGAGCAGAAAAAACAATTATTGGGTACTAGGCTTAGTATCTGGGTGACGAAACCATCTGTACAACAAACCCCCATGGCATGAGTTTATCTATTTAATAAACCTGCACATGTACCCCTGAACCTAAAATAAAAGCTTAAGAAATAGGTTATTTTAAAGACTATCCTAATGCATTTGTTTGTGTGTGAAATATGGTTTTGCTAATTAGTATTCTTTATTGCCAGTAAAAGTAACTCACTAGAGGGAGCTTCTAAGAAACGGGGATTTTGATGAGGGCACGTGGATATCCCATGGATTTTAGGGACGGGCACGGCTGGGCCTTGGGGAAACAAAACAAAACAAACAAATAAACCAAAAATCAAAACCAAAAATTCACATTGAATTTGGAGTTTGGGTCATATTGTATGAACAGGACTGCTTCCACCTGCATTAATAGGCAAATTCCAGAATACTGGGTGCTGAATGAACAGTCCAGTATGGATCTGTACGGAGGCTGTACCAAGGATTGGTGTCTGTTTATTTTTATTTGTGCTGCTATTGAAGATTTTCTAATCATTAGTGCTAATATTGCAGGAGAAAATAATTAATGAAGGTGTCTACTGTTCTATTGTAGTAATTTCTGTTTGCAGGGCTCATTAACATCTTTGATCAGAATGAGCAGCTCTTTTCTGGTTGGAATAGATGAAAATTATACAATGTATGGAGCCATTCTTCACCTTGTCCTTGTTTCTTCTTCATGTTGCTTCGACTTATTGCTCACAAGTTGACCTCCCCCTTAGAGCTGGGGTGGTCCAGCAGGGCTGCGTTGTGATGTGTATTCCTTTTGTGATAGGAGACTTGCTGAGAGAGGATCCTGTTTTTTTGTTTGTTTGTTTGCTTTGAGATGGAGTCTTGCTCTGCCACCCAGGCTGGAGTGCAGTGGCATGATCTCAGCTCACTGCAGCCTCTGCCTCCCAGGTTCAAGCGATTCTCCTGCCTCAGCCTCCCGAGTAGCTAGTATGACAGGCGTGAGCCACCACACCCGGCTAATGTTTGTATTTTTAGTAGAGATGGGATTTCACCATGTTGGCCAGGCAGGTCTCAAACTCCTGACCTCGTGACCCGCCCACCTCGGCCTCCCAAAGTGCTGGGATTACAAGTGTGAGCCACCGCGCCTGGCCGAGGACCCTGTCTTTAATGGGATGTTGGGTGATATGTATGAAATGGTTCAAGAAGCAGATGGGAAGTGTTTGGGAGGCCTACTGCCAGTGGCTCAGTGTAGCCAGGGAAAAACAGACACACCTCTGTGCCATCTCTCACATCTTAGAAGGTAACATTGAGTTTGCTGCATAGAACCATACAGTTCTAGGTCACCTGAAACTCAGAGCTCATGTGATCTAAACTTCTATATTTAAAGGAGGAAAGAGACTCAGAGAAGTAAAAATGGCTTGACCAAGAAGTCAGACTGGAACCAGAAGTGGACATATGGACTCCTCATTCCTGTTCCAGTACCGTTGCTGCCAGTTCACATTGTCTTTCTAAAATAGCCATTTATAGGGCCACAGCTCCATCTCAAACAAGGGCTTAGTATCTGTCAGTTTGCGAGGTCTACCATAACAAAGTAACCCAGACTGAGTGGCTTAAACAGCACAAACTTATTTTCTTATGATTCTAGAGACAGTAAGTTTGAAATGAAAGTGTCAGGAAAGTTGGTTCCTTCTGAAGTCCTTCTCCTTGGCTTGCAGATGGCCATCTTCCCCCTGTGTCCTCTCGTGGGCTTCCCTCCAAGTCTGTGTCCCAGTCTCCTGTTACAAGGACACCAGTCATAGTGGAATAGGGCCCTTTCATATGACCTTATTTTGTTTTAATTACCTCTCAAAAGGTCCAATTTCCAAATACAGTTATATTCTGAGAAACTGGAAGTTAGGGCTTCAACACATGAATTTTGAGTGGTTGTGGGGGGAAAAAATTCAGCCAGTAACAGTATCCATAAGTTAACTTGATTCATTAGTTGATTAAGTATGATTAAACCAGCTGGGCGCAGTGGCTCATGCCTGTAATCTCAGTACTTTGGGAGGCCGAGGTGGGTGGGCACATCATCTGAGGTCAGGAGTTCGTGAACAGCCTGGCCAACATGGTGAAACCCCGTCTCTACTAAAAAAACAAAAATTAGCTGGGCATGGTGGTGCGTGCCTGTAATCCCAGCTGCTTGGGAGGCTGAGGCAGGAGAATCACTTGAACCTGGGAGGCAGAGAGGTTGCAGTGAGCTAAGATCACATGCACCACTGCACTCCAGCCTGGGCAACAGAGGAAGACCCTGACTCAAAAACAAGAAATAAAGTAAATAAATAAATATTATTAAACTAGATTATATTGGTTACCAAGTCTTTACATGACCATTTTAATAGCCTTTTCAGATGTTAACTTTGCAATAATATGCAGCCAGCTAATTGAAAATTCTAGTGCCATAAATGTTTTTAATTGCTTACTATGTGTCAGGCGTTGTACTAGGCACTGGGGAAAACTGTAAATAAAAGAGACCCAGTTCCTTCCTTTTTTTCAGGTTGCAGTCTATCAGGAAAGGCAGACATTTAAAAAGGGTCTTGTGAGGACTGTTATGAAACAGGAAGTACGAGTGCCATTTCTATACCTTAGTACAATCACTCGTTTTAATTCACATCTTCCATGGTGGCAAGTTTGCCTCAGTGTCAGCCGGTCAATTGCCACTCAAGGGGATCAGAACATTTATGTATCTGGAATGCTTGGTACCTAGAGTTCTGAAGATCACTATTCTCATTCCAAATATGTTTTTTCATTGCCAGAATGCTCACTCAGTGACTGGATTAGTTATGTGTACTCTGCATTTTTCGAAGAGGGGAAAGCTGCTATTTTTATCATCTAGTAGCATTCTGATGACTCCTTGATAACATGGTTACTATACGGAACCCCATCTGTTTCTCTGCTGGGACCACATCTTAGTCATATTTTTGTCCCTAATGTCTGGCATCGTGCCTGGCATTTAGTAGGTCTTCAGTAAATATTTGCTGAATAAATGTATGCTGATTGAAAAATTGCCTGCTATTATCAGCTCTCTGTGCATGATAAATGCCTTGCCTCTCCAAAGCGATTGTAAGCTTCTGAGCAGGAACACCATGGTCACACATGGTCTGTCTAACTCAGCGCCTTGTAAATAATAGGAATGCCATCCCTAAATCCCTAGCCCCCTCCAGGATGGCCTGTCTTCCTTGCATCTGGGACTGTTGAAGATTCTTAATGATGGAAAAATCATATACAGGTTATTGCATAGACATACATTAAAAAATGTAGTTCGTTCAGTGTATCCCTAGTGGGCCTATGGCCATAAATTAACTTGCTCCCAGGGTAGGTAGTACTCTCTTCTTCACTTCTGCTGTAATCACAGCTGCCTTCATTATAGAATCATAGAGAAGTGAATTAAGGTGAACTTTGAAAGAAGGAAGAGATGCAGCTCACTTGATCGATGTGGGAGTGGGAGTGGGAAGATTTTTCTAGGCATAAGGATGGCATCAAAGAGGCTTGGCTGTTTTTCCATTCCCAGTAATCGTTGACAGTTTTTTATTTAACATTTAAAAAAGTGTCCTCCGAACCTTAGGCTGTTCAAAAACAAGTATTTCATGGTAGAGATTACGTCAAATGATAAGCGATGCATTCTGCGATCAGTGGCAGAAACAAAGGTTGAAGCTGCAGTTTGATGAGAATTTAAACATACAGAAGTCAAAAAATTCAGGAGTTGAAGTTAAACTGCAAGTGTGACTCAGTCCCCTCGGGCATATGGTAGTAGCATTTTCTGAATTGTGGCATATTCAGTTAAATTTAAGCCCTTGTTTTTGCAGAGTCGTTGTGTCAAGGTTGCAATGTGAGCAGTAACTTTAGACTTTCACAATTTTTTATATTCTCACCCACAGTATGTGCTGTTATAGCATTTGTGCACTGAAATTTGGTATAGCTTATAAAAATAAAAAAATGGTGCAATGCTCAATCTATGGTGCAGAATGTATATGATTATGAAGGAATAACCCTTCTGTTTGCTTGAACCCGACCTAATACTGAAACAAAACACCGCCACTTTTGCTTTTAAGTAAATAAATAAACCATACATTGTGGCAAAAGGCATACACTATAAAATTGACCGTCTTCACCATCAAGTGTACATTCAGTGGTATTAACTGAATTCACATTGTTGTACAACTGTCACCACCATCCATCTCCAGAACTCTTTTTTTTTTTTTTTTTTCTTGAGACAAAGTCTCGCTCTCATCCCCCAGGCTGGAGTGTGATGGTGTGATCTCAGTTCACTGCAACCTCTGCTTCCTGGGTTCAAGTGATCCTCCTGCCCCAGCCTCCCAAGTAGCTGGGATTACAGGAACCTGCCACGACGCCTGGCTAATTTCTGTATTTTTAGTAGAGACAGGGTTTCACCATGTTGGCCAGGTTGGTCTCAAACTCCTGACCTCAGGTGATCTGCCCACCTCGGCCTCCCAAAGTGCTGGGATTACAGGTGCGAGCCACCACGCCCAACCCAGAACTCTTTTTATTTTGCAAAATTGAAATTCTACCCATTAAATAGCAACTCTTCTTTTCCCTTCTCCCCCAAGCCCTTGGCAACTGCTTTTCCATTTCTATGACAATGTCTACTCTAGATACCTCATAGAGGGTGAATCATACAGTATTTGTCCTTTTATGACTGGCTTATTTCACTTAGCTGCTATATTATTAATACCAGCTTTCTGGGGATATAATTCACAAACTGCAGAATTGAATGGTTTTTAGTCTATTCACATCGGATATGTTTTTGAAGAGACAGTAAAACCAATCCTTTTTTCCTTAGTTCTCAGACACACACATGCTTCTTATCTGGCAAGTCCCGTTATAAAAATGCCATGAACTAAATGGGAACAGAAGATTGGGGGAAATATCTAGATTATTCTTAGTTTGGTTCAGATTAATTGAGATAGCCAGAATATTTTTGTAAGCATGTTTGCTTTAATTTAAATGTCTTCATTTTGCTTCCTGGAGCCAGCAATATGTGATTACTTATTGTTGTTCTTATGGGGTATTGTTTGCTTGCGTAGTTGATTGTGATGAGTTGGCTAGAAATTTAACAGAATGGAAATTTCTTCAAGTCTGGATTTGTTCAAAGAACAGTTTGAAATTGACCAAAGCGATAGATGGAACTGACACTTGACTTATTTGAGATCTGGAGTTCCCAGTAATGAATATTTTGGTCCAAGTTTGAAAAATGGCATTTCATGTTTATGTACTGCTGATAGGAATATTCATTGGTACAACCATTTAGAAAGACAGTTAGGTATTATCCAGTTAACAAAAACAAATGTGTATACCCTGTGACTCAGCAATTTTCCTTCTAGGTGTTTCCTAGAGACTTCTGTACTGTATACCACGAGACATGGAGGCTCTCCAGCACAGCTTTATTTGTGTTAATAATGGTTTAAAAAAATAAACCCAAACTACTTGAATGTTTATTAAAGTGAAATAAACAAATTATGATATGATCAAATGACAGAACACAATACAACAATGAAAGTGAATGATCTAAAACTATATAGGAGCAATATAGATACATTTCAGTAACCTGATATGAAGCCAAAAAAGTTACGTTGCAGAAAAATTCAAAATATGAATGATTATTTTTGTAAAATTTCAAAAGTATGCATCATTAAACAAGTAAAGTGGAATTTCACCCTGAGACAGTTAAAAAAAAAAGGCTAGAAGCTTAGAAAGACATGGATTAGAACTCGTTTTTCTCTGTTCTGAGAGTACATGTGGAAATGAAAGCTACCAGCTATTTCTGCCATTTTAAATGCTCATATGAAATTTCTAAGTACCCTGCATAGTAAGTCTTTAAAATATCACATACACACTACTGGCAGGCTAAAAACCAACAGAAAGATGGCTGGGTAAAAAGAAATCATGCATGCAGAACACTCTTACTTTTAAAAATTTACATTCCTGAAATAGAATTTTTGGAGAGAAGCTTTTCTTGAATGATGTTAGATTGAAGGATATAACTAAAAATAGAACTGCAGTCTTTAATAAATGAAAATTAGTCAAGATTCTAATTAGTACTTCCTGTGTTCGATACTAATTTTGTCAGTTCATTTCTTTACTTAATGTGGGCTGTACCTATTCGCACATCCCTTGTACTCTTTGCTTGTTTGGTTATCGTTATGAGACCACCACCAACCACCACCACCACCACCATGGTCATCATCATCATCACCATCTCCTAGAGCACATGGTTTTATGAGCCCTGAGCTAAGCTCCTTACCGTTTAATGCAAACATGTTCCTCCCTCAGGGTCTTTGCATTACTCTAAAATAACACCCTCATCAGTTTTTATCCCCTTCACCGGTTTAATTTTTCCTTATTGCACTTACACATACTTGTTTGTCTTTCTCATTTCACTAAAATTTGAGAGTGATGTTAAGTCTGTGGAAGCAGAGCCCATGCTTACATCTGTCACTTGTGTATTTCCAGTGTTTAAAACTGGGCCTGTCACACCTAGAAGCTCACTGATCATAATCAGTGATCATCAAGTGAATGAATGCCTGAATTAGCCCAACAACTCTTTGAGGTAGTTATTGCTGTTACTATTCTACAGATTTTTAAAAATGGTGGCACTCAGATAGATTAAACTACTCGCCCACATTTACCCAGCTTGTGGGTGGTGGAGGCTAGAATTCAAAGCCAGTGTGCCTGACACCAAAGCCTGTTGTCTTAACTACTCCACTTTTCTGCCTATCATCTGCTGCTAGTTCTCAGTGACTTTTTATTTATTTATTTTTGCATAGAGCATCTTTTCTTCTTTTCGGGCTATCAACTCATCATTTGTTTAATTCTTTGTTTTTTGTTTTTGAGATGGAATCTCGCTCTGTCTCCCAGGCTGGAGTGCAGTGGCACGATCTTGGCTCACTGCAACCTCCATTGCCTCCCGGGTTCAAGCCTCAGCCTCCCTAGTAGCTGGGATTACAGGTGTGCACCACCACACCCAGCTAATTTTTGTATTTTTAGTAGAGACGGCATTCTCCATGTTGGCCAGGGTGGTCTTGAACTCCTGACCTCAGGTGATCCACCTGCCTTGGCCTCCCAAAGTGTTGGGATTACAGGCATGAGCCGCCGGGCCTGGCCTTGTTTAATTCTCTGTATGCACCTTTTTGATAAATAGTTGTGTCTCCTTTTAGGGCTATTTCTGTTTTGCATATACAAAGACTTTACTCATATTTCAGGTTCAGCCAATTTCAGCCTCTTGCAGCTAACGCCCTTGCCGTGTTTAGTGCTATTGTCTGGGCTCTGAGACTGAAGCAGGTCTGTGAGAGCAGCCGACAAGGTGTCAAGAAGGAAGGATGCAATAACCCACTGAGCTGCGTTATCTCCTAAATGCATGTGTCTTTATGCCATTGCTAATGGCATCTAATGACCTTGGGCTCCGAACAGGTGCTGCCTTGTAATCTGCGCTCATTTGTCTCTTTCTACACTGCTAGATTTACTGAAATAACATGAACAGGGAAAGCAAATGCTTTCATGGATGCCAGGAATGCTTTATTTATCTTTTAATTTTCTTTCATTTGTTTCGGGATGTAGAAGCCCACTTTGGAGTTGAAATAAAACAACTAATGTTCAGAGCTGAGGTTGTCACCCTTTTTAGTAGGACCTCAGATCTAGAAAGGGCCCCAGAGAGTTCTCCTTTGCTTATAGAGGAGAGTGTAGTCCTGTGGGACCACATGTGGTGCTGGCCAGCGGAGTAGGTGGGGGTCCTAGAACTTATGCAGCCTGACTCCCTTTCTGGGGCTCCTTCTGAAACCCAGTGGCATCCTCCTTGGCACTTTGCACACCCAGCTGTAAATACACCTGTGCCATGGAGGGCTAAAGCCTTTTGGGGGGGCATATATGGGCCAACTGATGATCAACAACCTCTGTTTTCTTAGATCATCTAGCTTCTTTATATAACGTACCTCTTCGACTTGGGTTGACCAAACTCAGATGATCTCCTTAAAGATGCATATTAAAGATTGCCCCAATTTCTTAGGATCCTAGGATATGAGAATCTTCATCTCTCTCTCTCTGTCTGTGTGTGTATGTGTGTGTGAGAGAGAGAGAGACAGAGAAATTTGTCCTAAGGAAACAACCAGAGATGTTGAAAAAAGATATATATGTTCAAGAAGTCCAGCACAGCATCACTAAACGATAGCACAATATCTGGAGAATTGAATGCTAGATAAATAGATTATGGTTGGAAATTATAGTTATGTTAAATATTCACATATTCTGTGTGTGTGTGTGTGTGTGTGTGTGTGTGTGTGTGTGTTTGAGAGACAGAGAGAGAGAGAGAGAATATGTATGTGAATATTTAACATTTTGTGTTTACAGCCTTTGAAGACTACTGCTTTTCCTCTAGCATAGAAATAAGATCAAGGTTTCTCCTACTGTAAAAGTTTGGTTGAGGGGGGTTATTGTTTTAAAATCAAAATAATACTAATATATAATGAGCTCTTATTATGGTCCAGATGCTGTACTAAGTGCTTTACATACATGTAAAATTCAATTGCCACAGCAGCCCAACAGCATAGTGTTATTAGCCCCATTTGACAGAACAGGAAGTTGAGGCTCAGAGAGGATAAGCAACTTGCCCAAGGTGGCAGATCTTAAAGTGATAGAGCTATGTTTTTTTTTTTTCTTTTTTTTTTTCCCTTAGAGACGGAGTCTCATTATGTTGCTCAGGCTGGCCTCCAACTCCTGGGCTCAAGCGATCCTTGCCCCTCAGCCTCCTGTGTAGCTGGGACTATAGTGCATGTTGCCACGCATGGCTATAGAGCTATGATTTGAATCCAAGCAGTCTGACTCCAGGGCATGCCCCAGAAATTGTTTATTGTTTCCCTGATCACAGAAGGGATGTATATATTCATTTAGAAAAACTGGAAATACAGAAAAGAATGCAGAGCAGATCACGCATACGATAAATATGAACATTTTTAGTGTCTCTAGTCATATAGATTTTTTAACTGGGATCATGCTGATTTACTGTTTGTGAGCTAGCTGCCTGATATTTACCAGGGGTCTGTATATTGTAAACATGCTGCTGTGTGATTTTCAAGCCCACACAGTGTGATCTTAGGGCCTATCGTAAGTTTTACATCACTCATAGATACTGTAATTTCCATCCATAATCTATTTATCTAGCATTTAATTTTCCAGATATTGTGCTATCGTTTAGTGATGCTGTGCTGGACTTCTTGAACATATATATCTTTTTTCAACATCTCTGGTTGTTTCCTTAGGATAAATTTCCAGAACTAGAGCTGGTGGCTCAAATAGTAAGGCCCTTTATAAGGCTTTTGATATGTGTTATTAAATTACTCTTCTTGAGCACTTGCCAACCATGACAAAGAACGTTCATGTGTCTGCACTCTGGACAACACTAAGTACTGTAATTAAAAAAAAAAGAAACAAACAAAAACTCTGCCAATTTGATAAGTTAAAAATTATATCTTGTTTTAATTTGCTTTTTTTAGTGTAGTTTCAAGTGAGGGTGGATATTTTCCTTATGTTTCTCTGTTTTTTACATTTCTTTTTTAAATTGGCCATTCGTGTTCATTGCTTATTTTTGTCTTAGAAAGTTTTTCCTTTTACTCACAATTACATGTATTTATTTTGTATTAAGGATATTAACTCTTTGTTTAATGGTATTGGAAATATTTTTCCCACTTTGATATTTTCCTTTGAATTTTACTTACGTTGATTTTTATTTACAAAATCAAAATATCTGTGTAGTCAAGCATATTAATAATTTTCAAAAAGTGTTTTGCTTTTTTTTTTTCCCACAGTTGAATCCTTTTTTTTTTTTTTTTTGAGACGGAGTCTCGCTCTGCCACCCAGGCTGCAGTGCAGTGGCACGATCTTGGCTCACTGCAACCTCCGCCTCCCGGGTTCAAGCGATTCTCCTGCTTCAGCCTCCAGACTACAGGTGTGTACCACCACGTCCAGCTAATTTCTTGTATTTTTAGTAGAGATGGGGTTTCGCCATGTTGGCCAGGCTGGTCACGAACTCGTGACCTCAGGTGATCCATCTGCCTCGGCCTCCCAAAGTGCTGGGATTACAGGCATGAGCCACCACACCCTGCCTGAATTCTTTTGTTTTGTTTGTTTTACTTTAAGTTCTGGGATACACGTGCAGAACTTGCAGGTTTGTTACATAGGTATACATGTGCCATAGTGGTTTGCTGTACCTATCAACCTGTCATCTAGGTTTTAAGCCCTGCATGCATTCGGTATTTGTCTTAACACTCTTCCTCCCCTTGTCCCTCCCTCCGACAGGCCCCGGTGTGTGATGTTCCCCTCTCTGTGTCCATGTGTTCTCAATGTTAAACTCCCACTTATGAGTGAGAACATGCGGTGTTTGGTTTTCTGTTCCTGGGTTAGTTTGCTGAGAATGATGGTTTCCAGCTTCATCCATGTCCCTGTAAAGGACATGATCTCATTCTTTTTTATGGCTGCAATTTTTTTTTAATTTTTTTTTTTGCTTTTATACCTAGAAAAGCCTTCCATTCACTAGGGTCAGATAACTATTTACCCACAATTTATTGTAGTTCTTTATTATCTCATAGTTTATATTTATCGTTTATTTTGATGTGCGATCTTAGACATGAGGATTCAATGAACTTTTGTCAAATATTAGATCAGTTGTTCTCACATTATGTATTTATTAGTCTTTTGCCCCACTGAGAGGAGACATCATCTTTATTAAGTACTAATAAAAACTAAATGTTTTTAGAAACATGAGTATATTTCTTTTTTTTTTTTTTTTGAGACAGAGTTTCTCTCTATTGCCCAGGCAGGAGTGCAGCGGCGTGATCTCGGCTCACTGCAAGCTCCGCCTCACGGGTTCAGGCCATTCTCCTGCCTCAGCCTCCCGAGTAGCTGGGACTGCAGGCGCCCGCCACCACGCCCGGCTAATTTTTGTGTGTGTTTTTAGTAGAGACGGGGTTTCACTGTGTTAGCCAGGATGGTCTCGATCTCCTGACCTCGTGATCCGCATTTCTAAGCCTTATATTCTGTTATCTTGATATTTGTTTTTTTTCTATTTTGCTTTTGATTCTATGAGTTTAGAAGATTTTAATATAATTAGATTCTTTCATATATTTTTTTTCAGCATTTATTAGCTATTTTTAGTCTATTTATTCTTTCATGTGTACATAGACTAATTTAGTCAGATTTTAAAACATCTTTTCAAAATAAAATTTAATTTAATAGATTAGATATCAATTCAGAGAGAATGGAAGTCTTTACTGAACTCTTGTAATTTTTGATCCATGCACAATGTTTTTCCTTTAGTTTTTTAGTAATGCATTTTCTGTTTTTATAGAATCTGAGCAGTTCTTGTTTTCTTTAGAGATTTTACAGTGTTGGTTATAATTGTGCACTTAATCTTTATTTTCCTTATACAGTAGTCCCCCCGATCAACTGGGGGCATGTTCCATACCCCTGGTGGATTCCTGAAACTGCCAGTTAGTACCAAACCCTATATAGATTGTGTTTTTTCCTGTACGTACACACCATGATAAAATTCAATGTATAAATTAGAGATTAACAACAATAACTAATAATCAAATAAAATACTTATATAAAAATATACTATAATAAAAGTTATGTGGATGTGATCTCTCTCAGTCTCCAAATATCTTCTTGTACTGTACTCGCCTATTTTCAGACAGCAAATTGACCAATAAATAAAACCATGGAAAGCAAAACCGTGGCTATGGGGAGACTACTGTATAAGGGAAATTTTCACCTGATTATCATTGCGTTTTAGGAAAACTATTAGTATGTCTATGTAAGTGTGTGTGGAGGGGTATATGTATATCTTCTAGTAACTGACCATTATATATAATTATTAATATATAATATATATAATTTTATATTATACATTATATAATATATTTTATATAAATATATAAAATATTTTATATATAGTATATAATATATTATAAAATATATTATATACTATATATAAAATATATTATATATATTTTTTGAGACACAGTCTCCTTCTGTCACCCAGGCTGGAGTGCAGTGGCATGATCTCAGCTCCCTGCAGCCTCTGCCTCCCAGGTTCAAGTGATTCTTCTGTCTCAGCCTCCCAAGTATCTGGGATTACAGGTGTGTACCACCACACCTGGCTAATTTTTGTATTTTTAGTAGAGACAGGGTTTCACCATGTTAGCCAGGCTGGTCTCAAACCCCTGACCTCAGGTGAGCCACCCACCTTGGCCTCCCAAAATGCTGGGATTACAGATATGAGCCACTGTGCCTGGTCAACTGACCATAATATTGATCTCAGTTCTAGAGTCTTTCAGCTAATTCCCTTAGATATTCTAAGTAGACAATAACATTTCCAATAATGATAATTTTGTCTCCTGTATTTTAATATTTTTAACTTTTATTTCTTCTACAGCATCCTGATGGTATGCCAAATAATAATGGAAGAGCAGATACAAATACACTTGACTTTATTCCTGAATTTAATTTTTTTTTTTCTTGAGACAGAGTCTTGCTCTGTCACCCAGGCTGGAGTGCAGTGGCGCACGATCTTGGCTCATTGCAACCTCTGCCTCCCAGGCTCAAGTGATTCTCCGGCCACAGACTCCCAAATATCTGGGATTACAGGCATGCAACACCATGCCTGGCTAATTTTTGTATTTTTAGTAGAGACGGAGTTTCACCATGTTCACCAGGCTGGTCTCAAACTCCTGACCTCAAGTGATCCACCCGCTCAGCCTCCCAAAGTGCTGGGGTTACAGGCATGAGCCACCGCATGCAGCCTGAATTTAATCATTGACTCTTGTTTTTAACTTTTAATATAATATTGGCTACTGGTTTGTGGTAGGTATCTTTTACTGTGGCAAATACATAGTATTCTATTCTAATTTTCAACCCTCTTTCCCACAGAATATTTAAGAGAAAACCTTTTTGGCCGCTTTGATAATGATAATTTTTGTCTATTGAATGGTGATGCTGTGATTTTCAGGATGTATGTATCATGGAAACTGGTAGAGAAAGAAAGAACTGAGATCATGCTGAAGTATACTGGGGCCCACCAAGAGGTAGAGCTGAGTGCACCAATTGTCACCAAAATGGCAACCCGTAAAAGAGAACCATTCTTAAGAAAGAGTCATGTACCATCAAGCGGGGATTTCCAGAAGCCTCTGATAGTAACAGTTCTCCCTTCCATTCCTTTCCTCTCTACTTTCAAGATGCGATGATGACAAAAAGACTGACTTGTCAAAAAAACCATGAAATTCCATACAAATGGGCAAGCTGACATATAGCAGCTTCGGAAATTTCCACAATCGCTCCTCTGAGTTGCCTCAAGGAGAAGAAAAGTGAGAGAAAGGAAGGGTACCTTTGCCCCCATTAAGGCACATGTAGCATCCTGGAAGCTTTGAAATTACCTGTCCCCAAAGTTATTAGAATTATGTCATTTTTTGGTTGTTATATTATGAAAGCCTCCCCACCCCTAAAAGTTTGTCTATAATAATTTTTTTGATCAGGATTTTTACTTCTTAAATTAATATTAAAGCATTTTAATGTTTCTAGAAAATTTGTCATTTGTATTTATATTATTTTATTTTATTTCATTTTATTTTATCAAGACAGGGTCTTGCTCTGTTGCCCAGGCTGGAGTGCAGTGGCACACGATCTTGGCTCATTGCAACCTCTGCCTCCCAGGCTCAAGTGATTCTCCGGCCTCAGACTCCCAAGTATCTGGGATTACAGGCATGCAACACCACGCCTGGCTAATTTTTGTATTTTTAGTAGAGACGGAGTTTCACCATGTTCGCCAGGCTGGTCTCAAACTCCTGACCTCAAGTGATCCACCCGCTTCAGCCTCCCAAAGTGCTGGGGTTACAGGCATGAGCCACCGCATGTGGCCTGAATTTAATCATTGACTCTTGTTTTTAACTTTTAATATAATATTGGCTACTGGTTTGTGGTAGATATCTTTTACTGTGGCAAATACATAGTATTCTATTCTAATTTTCAACCCTCTTTCCCACAGAATATTTAAGAGAAAACCTTTTTGGCCGCTTTGATAATGATAATTTTTGTCTATTGAATGGTGATGCTGTGATTTTCAGGATGTATGTATCATGGAAACTGGTAGAGAAAGAAAGAACTGAGATCATGCTGAAGTACACTGGGGCCCACCAAGAGGTAGAGCTGAGTGCACCAATTGTCACCAAAATGGCAACCCATAAAAGAGAACCATTCTTAAGAAAGAGTCATGTACCATCAAGCGGGGATTTCCAGAAGCCTCTGATAGTAACAGTTCTCCCTTCCATTCCCTTCCTCTCTACTCTCAAGATGCGATGATGACAAAAAGACTGACTTGTCAAAAAAACCATGAAATTCCATACAAATGGGCAAGCTGACATATAGCAGCTTCGGAAATTTCCACAATCGCTCCTCTGAGTTGCCTCAAGGAGAAGAAAAGTGAGAGAAAGGAAGGGTACCTTTGCCCCCATTAAGGCACATGTAGCATCCTGGAAGCTTTGAAATTACCTGTCCCCAAAGTTATTAGAATTATGTCATTTTTTGGTTGTTATATTATGAAAGCCTCCCCACCCCTAAAAGTTTGTCTATAATAATTTTTTTGATCAGGATTTTTACTTCTTAAATTAATATTAAAGCATTTTAATGTTTCTAGAAAATTTGTCATTTCTATTTATATTATTTTATTTTATCAAGACAGGGTCTTGCTCTGTTGCCCAGGCTGGAGTGCAGTGGTGCAGTCATAGCTCACTGCAACCTTGAACCCCTGGGCTCAAGCAATCCTCCCGCCTCAGCCTCCCAAGTAGCTGGGACTGCAGGTGCATGCCACTATGCCTGGCTCTTTTTCTTTTTTAACTTTTTTGTAGAGATGGGGTCTCACTATATTGCTCAGGCTGGTCTCAAACTCCTGCCTTGAGCAATCCTGCCTCAGCCTCCCAAAGCATGGGGATTACAGGTGTGAGCCACCGGACCTGACCATTTCTATATTCAAAATTTTGTTAACACAGTCAAATATTACATATTTTAAAAATTTAAAACATTCTCAATATTTGTGAATTTATTCCACTTCTTATTTTTAATTTGGTTTGTTCTCTGAAACTTAAGATTAGCTAGCAGTAAGTCAATCTTATTTTTGTATATATTTTAAAACATTTTGTATATATTTTAAAATATATGCAAAAATAAGATAGACTTACTGCTAGCTAATTAATAGCCTTTTAAAATAATTTTTTTTTTTTTTTTTTTTTTTTGAGACGGAGTCTCGCTCTGTCGCCCAGGCCGGACTGCGGACTGCAGTGGCACAATCTCGGCTCACTGCAAGCTCCGCTTCCCGGGTTCACGCCATTCTCCTGCCTCAGCCTCCCGAGTGGCTGGGACTACAGGCGCCCGCCACCGCGCCCGGCTAATTTTTTGTATTTTTAGTAGAGACGGGGTTTCACCTTGTTAGCCAGGATGGTCTCGATCTCCTGACCTCATGATCCACCCGCCTCGGCCTCCCAAAGTGCTGGGATTACAGGCGTGAGCCACCGCGCCCGGCCAAAATAATTTTTATCTCACATTTGGATAGTTTTATGTGCTTTTCCTTTATATTGCTTTTCTTAGGTTTATTTCCCTTTCTTTTTTTTTTTTTTTAAGACAGAGTCTCTCTCTGTCACCAGGCTGGAGTGCAGTGGTGCACTCTCGGCTCACTGCAACCTCCACCTTACGGGTTCAAGTGATTCTCCTGCCTCAGCCTCCCAAGTAGCTGGGACTACAGGTGCGTGCCACCATGCCCAGCTAATTTTTGTATTTTTAGTACAGATGGAGTTTTGCCATGTTGGCCAGGATGGTCTCAATCTCTTGACCTCGTGATCTGCCTGCCCGACCTCCCAAAGTGCTGGGATTACAAAGGTGTGAGCCACCGTGTCCCACCCCCTTTTCTAATTTATTGAGTTGATCTTTTATTTTTAATTTTTCTTAATGATAAAAATACTAAAGATATTTGCCTCTGACTGTAAGCTGCCTACACTTTGATACATAATTTTCTCATTATCTTTATTGTCTCAGTCTGTGATTCCATAATTTATTATCTTTTATACTCTACACCTATTTAGAAGAATTCTTTTTGAATGTACAAGTTAATTTGAATTGTTTACACTTCTGTCTATTAATGAGTTTTGTTGCATTGTGGTCACAGAATATTGAAAGGTAGTAAAATTTATTTTATGTTCCAATACAGGATTCATTTTTGTTAATGTTCCATGAGCCCCTGTATAGAAGATGCATGCTCTAATTAAATCTAATCAGGCTTATCTTGTCATCAGATCTGCCATATTTATGATTTTATCCTACTTCTCTATATCTTTATTAAATTTTCATCTGCTGGCCGGGCGCGGTGGCTCACACCTGTAATCCCAGCACTTTGGGAGGCTGAGGCAGGCGCATCATGAGGTCAGGAGATCGAGACCGTCCTGACTAACATGGTGAAACCCCGTCTCTACTAAAAATACAAAAAATTAGCCGGGTGTGGTGGCGGGCACCTGTAGTCCCAGCTACTCGAAAGGCTGAGGCAGGAGAATGGCATGAACCCAGGAGGCGGAGCTTGCAGTGAGCCGAGATGGAGCCACTGCACTCCAGAATGGGCAACAGAGTGAGACTCTGTCTCAAAAAAAAAAAAAAAAAAAAAAAAAAAATTTCATCTGCTTATTTTTCCAAGGACTGAATGCAGTGGGGTAGACTTTAACATTATTGCATGTCTCTCAATCTCTGTTTTATTTTCTTTATATATTTCCATGCTCTACTATCTTGACACATACAATTTTGACTTAATTCTTTGGAATGTATCTCTTGTCAGTAAAAATTTCACCCCTGTTGAATGCTTTAGATATGTAATACTGATTTTGTATTAACAGTTGTAAAACTGTCACTTCTAAATGTGCAGTTTCCTGGTATTCCTTTGCCCCAATCTTCTTGTAACTTTTATGGGTTTCTTGCAGATAGTCTAAGGGCATTCTTAATTTATGACACCATCTGAGATTCTTTTGCTTTTCAAAACGAATTAATACCTGTCTTCAATGTTGATACGCTTATTCTAATTTTTGTCATCTTTTTATTCTTTTGGTTTTATGATTCCTTGATATTTCCCTCATTTTCCATTTTGTGTGATATGATTTACTGTCTGTAATACTCATACCTTATATTTAATCTTCTAGTTGTCTTCTTAAATTTGACTAAATATGACCTATATTTCTGTATGAGCAAAGTGAGGAAGCTGGCTGACCATACCTCCTCCCTGTATAAGATAAGATTAACACATTTTATTCTCCTTTGGAATTCTCCTTTTCTTTTTTAAAGTTAGATATAGACATATAGATGTTTTGATCCAGTTTATGATTACTTTTAAATATTATGTAACTTTTCTTAATAAGGATTATCTATATCTGTGTTCCTTTTTATAACGATATTCAGTTGTTTGTTATATGCTCTCCTTATATGTGTATATATTTTTCTCTAGAGACAGGGTCTTGCTCTGTGGTGCAGCCTGGAGTGCACTGGTGGGATCATAACTCGCTGCAGCCTTGACCTCCTGGCTCTAAAGGATCCCCCACCTCAGCCTCCTAAGTAGCTGGGACTACAGGCACACAGCCCCACGCCTGGCTAACTTTATTTTTTTTTTTTTTTTTTATAGATGACGTCTCGATGTGTTGTCCCGGGTGGTTTTAAACTCTTGGCCTCAAGCAATCCTCCCACCTCGGCCTCCCAAAGTTCTGGGATTACAGGGATGAGCCCCTGTGCTGGGCCTGAATCCATATTGTGAACTGTTTTAAAGCACAACTACCCCTTTTCTTTATTGTTTAAAATTAAATTTTTGATTGATTAGGGAGCTTCTTCAAATATATTCTATGAAATACATTGTGTTTTTGTTGCTCCTTGGGATCCAAGAATGCCTTTTTTATTTTTTAACTCTCATACCTTAGTAGGAAAGTTGGTTAGTTTGGAATTTTTGTATCAGAACCCTTTGCCATTAGAGCTGTGTAGTTGTTTTATTTCTTCTATTGTCAGAAATCTGATTTTTTTTCCACCTTGGTGACCTGGTTACCTGTATTTCTTTTCCTCCTCACTGAATGCTTATGAGTTGTTTTGACCTCAAAAGTTGCACCAGAAGGTAAATAAATAGATGGAAGTTTTCTTTAATTTATTAATTTATATTAATATTTATATCAGTTTTCATTTTTTTCTTCTTGTATAGAGTGAGTTTTTGGTTGGTTGGTTGGTTGGTTGGTTGGTTTACTCTGTATTTCTTCAGTTTAGAAAAATTTTCTTTCATTATTTCTTTAATAATTGCTTCTGTGGTATTTACTTTGACTATGCATCAATCATGCTATCTCTATGTTGGCTTCCTACTTTGTCTCCTGTATCCATTAGCATCTATCTGATTTGTTTATACTTTTCATCTTTTTTCCAGTGCCTTTTGGGAGACTTTTTCAGGTTTGTTCTTCACTTGCTGGTTTGATGCTCCAAAGGCTGTTTTTCCTTTTCATTGCATCGAATGTAGTTTTAAATAATACTTTGGAAAATCAGTCATTGAAAAAAAATCCTAATTTTTTTTTGTAAGTTGGTGTTTCTTTTTGTTTTCATTTACTTGTCATTCACGCCTAAGTCTGGGTCTCCTCCCCTTCTTTTTCCTCCTCCTTCTTCAAAGGTGCAAATCACATCTTGTCTGAAACTTGTTTCTATTTCCAGTAGTAAATATTTTTTGAAATCGTCTTCTTCCTTTATTTCTTGGATGTTTCTTGTTTTGTTAACCAAGTCCTTATAAGCCCAATGTTGCCAGTTTTGGGTCTGCTCATCATTGAATGATGGGAGGGCTAGCCCGCCCTGGAAATTGTTCTCAAATAATCTCTGTACCATTAGGGAAAGGTTGGACTCCTTTCCTCGGTCTTAAGCTGAAGGCTTTGTTCTTAAAAATGTACTAGACCAGGTGTGTTTTTCAGCAGCTGCACAAATTTGTAGGGAGCTGGAGCCACAGGGCAATCTCTATTGGGGTTCTTCCTTGCATGGTTGCTGCTTGGCAATGGGTGAAGCCATCGTGCAAGAGACAGTGGTTCTCATTCTGAACTTCTCCCTGACCCTAGCTTCACTCCAAGCCCCCTTTGTAGCAGAGGATGCATTTTTCTGGCATCAGAGTCCTGCTATGTAGAGAGACATCTCACATCCCACCAGATGGCCATGGGCATGGAGGACTTATGCTTGGTTCTCTTCTTAGTGCCTTCCGAATGTGAATGCCCTGGACACCAGACACTATCTGGTTTGCTAGCCTGCTCTCACCTCCAGCGTTCAGTCCATTTTAGGAAGATTTCTAACCAGTGCTCTGTCAGAATCTCTTCTTGTTTCTTCTCACAGTGCTGTGCCACCTTTTCAAGAAAGAGAATCCCAACACACATTTCTGATTCAGCCTTTTATGTGATGCTTTCTCTGGTCTATCTAACAAAATGTCTTAATGTTAAAAATGCTGGGTGCCCTCCTTTTTTTTCAGCACTGGTGTAGACTTCCCCCCATCTTTATATTTGTGGGAAATGGATGTTCAGATTGATGACGTGCTCTAAAGACAGAGAGGGGAAATTTACAAAACACAAATGGAGAGGAATGTGAATTTTACAAAAGTATTTATGGAGTTCTCTAAATAATGAACTCCCTCAGGACACTTAGCACACCAAGTAATGTAAAAAGTTAGGCTTACACGTAGATTGTCAGACACACAGCTTTTGTATATTGTAAGCTACACCTGTATCCCTGTAATGGTCCCCAGGAGTATCACGCTGCATGGTCCAATTAGGTACAGAAGAACTCTCAAGTAGCAGCCAGTCACTTTGCCTGTAATAATGTTTATGATTCAGAGTGGTGCCCAATTCACCCTTTGCACTTTTCCCAGTGGCATTTGGCAGCTGGGGCCTGGTTATTCAGCAGATTATTGCTTCTCCCCAGAAGCTTTTGTGATCCTTGCAGGCGCTCTCCTACTAGGGAGAGAAGAATGCCAACATATTTTAAGGAAACAAAGAATAATAGTGTCACACGTCTTTGAATAAGAGTGAAAAAATAGTTCTCCCCACATCCAAACACAGTGTAGTCAAAATTAAGAAGATAGAAATCAAGTGTGCATGGGCAGAGGGTAGGTCATAGGCTTAATGAACCCAGAAGAGCTTTATTTATTGACTTCTATTTTATCCCTTCTCACTGGTCCAGCTGCAATGATTGTCAACAAAGGTGACTTAGAAAAAGAGAGACCTTGGAGAGAGACAGAAAGAGAGAGAGCTGGATAGGCAGACAGATGTAGAGCAGGTTTGTTTGCTTGGCAGAACATCCAAGTCGCAGATGGTTCTAGAACAGAGGTAATATTGCCAGGGTTGCGTGGAACAGATCTGGACTAAAGCTGAGGCTTGCAGGTAAAGCCAGTGGCTCCCACTCCAATGTCATTCAGCACATAGCAATTTCAGCTGGAGATCTGTTTATAGCATAAAACAGACACTGCAGACTTTTTTCTCCATGAGACTTTAATGTTTCATTTACTAACAAGATTATATATGGGAAGTGGATGTCATAAGAAGACTGTAGAATCCTATTGTCTCACCACCGATTGAGGGGCCTTTGTCTATAGACCAAGCACGTCTTTTTCCTCGGATGCCTTGGGCATTTCAGACCATGCCCAAAAAGATATGTTGTGACCTGCAGACCTGTGGTTGACCATATTAGGATCTGTGATCAATTTCTTAGAGATTTTGGGCATAAAAAATGAGCAAAGAGCCATCTTTAGGAATTTGGGGATATGCTTGACCCAAGGTATTTTTGTTTTCTACTAACACATTTTGATGTAAAGCAAGAAGTGGTTTTCAACAGTTGACCATGGTTGCCTAGAGAGATGGGTACATATTCATGTATTTTGACCTATCAGATGGAAACAGGCTTCACTCTTAGAACTTCCCTTTGGATTTCCCACCCACCCCAGACACTGACATTCCATTTTGAAGTTACACATGAATATAACACTGACACATTGGGACATGCTTTCCAAGCTCAATTACCATGCAGCGCAATATCAATTAAGTGGATCATGAAACATGTGTCTGATTGTCTCACTTGCATAATTTACATTTTTTGACAACACTTAATTCTCCCTTATATGTCCAGGTTTCCTATTTTGTGATGCACATAATTGCAGAACTTGGGAGCTAGAATGGACCTTGGAGAGGTCCCTTACGCCAACCCTTTCACTTCACAGATGTAGAAACTGAGGCTTAGAGAGGGTATAACTTTCCCAAGGCCACAAAGGACTAGTTTACAGCAGAGCTGGGCTTATATAACAGGGCTGCCTGGCCGGACGCGGTGGCTCATGCCTGTAATCCCAACACTTTGGGAGGCCAAGGCGGGTGGATCACCTGAGGTCAGGAGTTTTAAACTGGTGAAACCCCATCTCTACTAAAAATACAAAACATTAGCTGGGCATGTTGGCGCATGCCTGTAATCCCAGCTACTTGGGAGGCTGAGGCAGGAGAATCGCTTGAACCCGGGAGGCAGAGGTTGCAGTGAGCCAAGATCGCACCATTGTACTCCAGCCTGCGCAATAAGAGCAAAAGTCCGTCTCAAAAACAAACAAACAACACACACACACACACACACAACTCATGGAACTGTATACTTTCCCCCAAAATTCAATTTAGGGCCGGGCGTGATGGCTCATGCTTGTAATCCCAGCACTTCGGGAGGCTGAGGCGGGCGGATCACGAGGTCAGGAGATCAAGACCGTCCTGGCTAACACGGCGAAACCCCATCTCTACTAAAAATACAAAAAATTAGCCAGGTTTGGTGGCAGGCGCCTGTAGTCCCAGCTACTTGGGAGGCTGAGGCAGGAGAATCACTTGAACCCAGGAGTCGGAGGTCACAGTGAGCCGAGATCGCACCACCGGACTCCAGCCTGGGCGACAGAGCAAGACTGTGTCTCAAAAAATAAAAATAAAAAAAAAAACCCACAAACAAAAAAACCACAAACAAACGAACAAACAAACAAAACAGGGCTGCCCATTATCCCCTGCATGGCTCCAGAGCTATTCTTAAGATCCTCTGCACTTTGGATCTTAAGATAACATTAGATTTCATAGTATCCATGAAATAACTTAGACCTGGTCTTGGAAATACGTTTCACCATCCAGGTACCCATCACATGTGTTCGCAGGTGAGGCTTTCTTAGCAGCACTATGTAAGGAGACATAGTAAAGAAATATTTATTGAATACTGAATATTGATTGAGCCTATGTCCTGTGCTAGGTGTTCTAAATATAGAACCTTATCTCATCCCATAACTCTTTGAGTTAATTGTCATTCTTTTTGTTTGTTTGTTTTTGAGACAGGGTCTCGCTCTGTCTCCAGAGTGACACACTGTACTCCAGGCTGGAGTGCAGTGGCGTGATTGTACCTCACAGCAGCCTTGAACTCCTGGGTTCAAGCGATCCCCCCACCTCATCCTCCTGAGTATCTGGACTATATGTACGTGCCACCACACCTGGCTAATTTTTTAAACATTATTTGTAAAGTTAGGGTCTCACATGTTTCCCAGGCTGGTCTTGAACTCCTGGGCTCAAGTGATCCTCCCATCTCAGCCTCCCAAAGTGCTGGGATTATAGGCATGAGACACTACACCTGGTCAGTATCGTTATCTTGGCCATTTTACGGTTAAGGGAATATAGACCCGGCAAGTTTCTATAGCTTGTTCCAGACCACATAGCTAGTAAGCTTTGAGGCTCATCCTAGGGTCACTGCTTGAATAACCTGCATTTTTCTACTGTACCATATGTATTCTCCTGCTAATCTTCTTACTGAGAGAGATGGTAGTTCTTCTAAGTATCATATGATCCAAAAGTTGCTTAACCAAGAGCTCCAGCATCTGAATCCCTGAGCATACCTCTTCCCCCATGCATCATACCTGTTTCCCATTCTCTTTGAATAATTTTGAATTGTGAGCAAATGTTCTTACAAAATAAAGAAGAGAGTGTGTCCCTGCAGCATTGTCTAAGTGCAGAGGATCTTAAGAATAGCTCTGGAGCCTTGCAGGGCTCATGGGCAGCCCTGTTATATAAGCCCAGCTCTGCTGTAAACTAGTCCTCTTGTGGCCTTGGGAAAGTCATACCCTCTTTAAGCCTCGGTGTCTACATCTGTGAAGTGAAAGCGTTGGCGTAAGGGATCTCCTCAAGGTCCATTCTAGCTCCCAAGTTCTGCAATTACACGCATCACAAAATAGGGAGCCTGAACATATAAAGGAGAATTTAGTGTTGTCATAAAATGTAACTTATACAAGTGAGTCAATCGGATACGTAGTTCATGATCCACTAAATTGATACTGTGCTGCATAGTAATTGGGCATTAGTGGAAGCAGTTCACGTAAAAGACTATAATTTGTATTACTTTTACACCATTGCAACACTTTTTATTGTTCCTCAGTCCTTGATTTGTTTTCTAATGTCTCTAGTGTGTTTAACACTTTCTCTTGTTATGATATGCACCATACATGTGCATGTAATATAATTCACATATATAACATGAAAACATCTGATTCCCACATCTAACAGTCAGACTTCCGTTTTCCTCTTTTCCAAAATCCAGGTGGTCAGCTGGGTGCAGTGGCTTGAGTGTGTATTTCCAGCACTTTGTGAAGCCAAAGTGGGAGGATTGCTTAGGGCAGGAGTTTGAGACTAGCCTGGGCAACATAGTGAGGCCTCATCTCTACATTTTTTTTTTTTAATCAGCCAGGCATGGTGATGTGTGCCTGTGGTCCCGGCTACTCAGAAGGCTGAAGTGGGAGGATCACCTGGTTCCAGGAGGCTGAGGCTGCAGTGAGCTCTGATTGTACCACTGCACTCTAGCCTGGGCAACAAAGCAAGCCTGTCTAAAAAAAAAAAAAAAAAAGAAGAGAAACAAAATCCAGTTGTCTGAAGAGGAACAACTTCTTCCTGAGACATTTTCTTTATTTCTTTTAATTTTGTTTTCTTTTTTTTAGATACAGGGTCTCTCTCCATCACCCAGGCTGGAGAGCAGTGATACAATTGTGGTTCATTGCAGCCTCGAACTCCTGGGCTCAAGCAATGGTCCTACCACCTCAGTCAGTTGAGTAGCTGGAACTATAGATGTGCACCACGTGCCACGATAATTTTTGTTTTTTTTTTTTTTTTTGAGACAGAGTTTTGCTGTGTTGCCCAGGCTGGTCTTGAATTCCTGGGCTCAAGTGGTCTTCCCTCCTTGGCCTTCCAAAGTGCTGAGGTTACAGGTGTGTGCCATGTGCCTGGCCTGTTCCTCTTTATCTCTTTGTATTGAGAGGTTCTTGAGAAGCATTTCCATCTGCTTTCCATCGTTTTCTCCCATGTGCAGACTTGGTTAAAAGACCTTGAGGAATCCCCCCTTTACGAAGCCTTATCCATGAGAGGACAAGATAAGGAGACCCTTGGTTTGTGGATTCAGCTTCCATGGTCATTCCCATCAGTTCCCACCACTTCTAGGAGAGATAGTATCACTCGATGCTGACCTGGAAAATCCTGGTAGAGACCCAGGAACTCATAGGACTCGGTCCCCACACCCTCATGCCAGTACCTGTGTGACGGAGAGGCGCCCCTTTGCATGGGGTGCTGCACAATGCCTTCGTCAATCTTCTGCCACTGTCCTCATCCCCACCCCAGCCTGCTCACCTCTTCCCCTGTACCCCACAGCCACCAGGCCAGTTTCACCTGGTGGAACACTTCCCCCACTTCACCTGCTGTGCCTCACCTACTTCCTCCTGCCTGTTCTGGTGAAGCCTCCCGCGTCTTTTCTTGTGGTAATGCTCTTTTCTGCCTCTCTAAACTTCTGCCAGTGTTTTTGTATTTGATTTTTGAAATTCAACTCAGACCTCCAAATGAGGCCTAAGTCAAGCCTAGCTTTTGGCGAGCTCACCCCATTTATGGTGGGGGCCTGCCTGGTCACCTGCTCGTCTTAAAACCTGCCTTTCCTTATGGAACTGTGTTTTCAATGAGGTTCTGGCCGCTAAGCACTCAAGGCTGTGTACACTCAACTGTTGGGCTGTTGGAGGTCTCCCCATGAGAACTTTATTACAGAATGGAGTATGGAGCCTGGAAAGGGAAGGTGGCCCAGTGAGGAATGGTACTGCATTCTCAGTCTCTGGGTGAGTTGAGGCAGGGGACCAGAAGGAGAGGAGGGAGGAGTGGGAAAGGCTTAAAGCCTCTTGGAAGGAGAAAAGCCAGGGGAAAGGAGAATGGTAACTGGGAAATGGGCTAACCTCAGACCTGCCTTTAGCGGACGCCTGGCTCGAGGGCCCAAGACCTCAAGCTCTCAGAAACTGGTAAGAATCATGCTGTCCCAGGTCCCAGTGAGGTGACTCTAGGTAGGAGGCCCTTAGCAGAGGTGGCTGGGTCAATCCCAGTCGGCTGCTTTTATCTTTTATTTTATCGGCACTTAGAAAGAAAGTATGGTGCTCCTTCTGAGAGGGCTCTTTAACATTGCAATGGGCCAATCACTTTATATCATTATCTCATAATTATTATATTACATTACATTATATTATGATAATTCCTGTTTTGTAAATGAGTAGCCGAAGCTCAGTTACATAGCCTGTCCATGGTCACAGTGGAACATGAACCCAGTTTGTGATGTCAAAGCATTTCTATCTTTATGGCAAGCCTTCATAGGAAGCAAAAGAAGCTTGCAAAAGTAGGAGACGTTACCTTATCCTCTTTCCCCGTTCAGAATTTGGGCTGCGGCCAGGCTCAGTGGCTCACGCCTGTAATCTCAGCACTTTGGGAGGCCGAAGCGGGTGGTTCATGAGGTCAAGAGATCAAGACCATTCTGGCCAACACGGTGAAACCCCATCTGTACTAAAAATACAAAAATTAGCAGGGCATGGTGGCCTGCGCCTGTAGTCCCAGCTACTTGGGAGGCTGAGGCAAGAGACTTGCTTGAACCCAGGAGGCGAAGGTTGCAGTGAGCCAAGATCATGCCACTGCACTCCAGCCTGGGTCACAGAGCGAGACTCCATCTAAAAAAAAAAAAAAAGAATTTTGGCTGCTCACTGATGTTAGAATTTAAAAGAAAGTAAAGTGATGCTTCAATTAAAAAAATTAAAAGCTTAAAAAAATTAAAAGCTTTAAAGTATGGATTTTTTTTGGTGGGCGGAGCAAAAACAGTGACTGAAGTGTATTCATATTGAAACACTGTGGTGTTTCACTGGTGTTCAAGTTGACAGGGCAGGGGTGGGAAAGAATTACGGAGTAGAAACCCCTGGGGCCCAATGGGGAGGCACCTAGAGGGCCTAAGGGGAAGGATCCTACAGATGAACTTGACCTTCTTTATGATTTTGCGGAAGACAACTCTGCTTATCTTTCCTCTGGGACCAGTAAAATAGCTGTTGGGGGCAGATGCTTTGCTGATGCTTAGTATACAAAAGACAGCTTATATGGGGGCAATATTAATTTTCTTAAGTCCCTTGGCATGGATTCTGAAAACTTTAAGATTTATGATTTGAGAACCCTGACTCTAAAATACGTGAGAATTTTCTGCTTGCAAAATAGATTACGCTTGCACAAAATACGCTTGCACAAAATCTTCTACTTGTATTTCTACTCTGGATTGTTGAAACAAATTGATTTTTTCTTTTTTGAGACAAAGTCTCACTCTGTCATCCAGGCTGGAATGCAGTGGTGCAATCTTGGCTCACTGCAAGCTCCGCCTCCTGGGTTCACGCCATTTTCCTGCCTCAGCCTCCCGAGTAGCTGGGACTACAGGTGCCCGCCACCACACCCAACTAATATTTTTTGTATTTTTTAGTAGAGATGGGGTTTCACCGTGTTAGCCAGGATGGTCTCGATCTCCTGACCTCATGGTCCGCCCGCCTCGGCCTCACTAAGTGCTGGGATTACAGGCGTGAGCCACTGCGCACAGCTGAAATAAATAGATTTTAAGTGGCTGGCTGGCTCTCAGATTGCATCCTGTTAGAAAGTCAGAATAGAAAATAGATGCATTTTAGCAGTGTTGGAAGAATAAACTCAAAGTCCCCTGGAAATCCTGGACCCCACCCACCTCTTACCAAGTATCCAGCAGGAACCTTCTTCCTTACTATTGTTATAATACATTCTAGCCCCAGTAATTTGTTCCACGTATCTCATTAGAGTGAAGATAGCAACATACTTAAATAAGAATTTCATTTTTCAGTTTTAGCTTTTGATGTAGGCTAAATGCTCTGTGTCACATAACTTAGACTACCTACATGCCTCATACACTGATACCCTATTTTGAAATTACACATGAATTTAACACTGCCACGTTGGGACGTGCTTTCTAAAGTTACCTATGAAATAACTTAGATCCGGTCTTGGAAACACCTTTTACCAGCTAGGTACCCATCACATAGCTTAGTAGGTGATGGTGGGGTCCTTCGTTTTTTTGACTACCCGTATAATTTCAGGAGCAAGCCTAATTGTTATGCCTCCTTTGTTATTACCTCCCCTAGCCTAGATAACATGCCTTCCAAATTGTATTGAGAGTACACAGGAAGACAACTGCAGCAGGCAACCAGCTCTAACAACTGCGTCATTTTCTAAGAATCAAAGGAATTACTTGAGTTTCTAGTTCTGGCTTTGGCTTGCCAGACATATACCTTACCCCAGCGAGGTAAATGATTCAATCATTTGGGAATGATTGAAGTTGCTGCCTAATTCATAACTTATAGGTGATTAAACTTGTAAAGTATTTTGAGGCTGTTTCTTTCATTCATTTATTCCAAACAAACATTTGTTGTTGAATGGGTAGTGACTTTGATTTTAAAACACTATACAGACATAAAATAGTGGCAGCTTGTAGATAGCAATTTTTTAATTTGCTGTCCTTAAGGAATTTCGTTACCAAATCCTCACGAATCTTGAACCTTAGAAGAATAATCCTTTCCTTTGTTGGAGTTTTAAATTTAGAATAATCAGACAATAGTGAAGCATTCTGTTCAAAGCATTCCTTTTAGGCTACCCATTTATTATACGCTGCTCTTAAGAGGAGATGAATTTGATTAGCATTGAACATTCAGTCAGTGTTTTTGCATAGCTAATATCACGGAGAAATTTTCAAAAAAAGTTATGCCTGCTATTTAACATTATTATACAGTCAACTTTTAATTATCTGTATTAATGGAATGTAATCAGTGATGTGTTGCTCCAAAATCATTTCCTTTGGCTTTGAGAAGCACCGGATGATGCTTTTATTGGTTTGTGGTTTTGCTTAGATAGTATTAAAATTGTGCCACATGTGTGCACATAGCTCATCTTAGGGAGGAAGTAGCCCAAAAGTATACTGGGGGCTAGGGAAAGGTCAACTGGAATTTTTAAACCTACCACAGATACATATACAATGGATGACCCCAAGATTATTCATCTTAATTATTAAATAAAAAACAATGGCCAAGAATTATATAATGGCAGCTGTGTAAGAAAAAAGACGCAATGAACCACATGTGAGATTTCCATGTAGGACACACATTGTTTCCCACCTTTCCCTTTTGAAATTTCCTGAAAGTGAAACACTCTCATAACACTACAGCAGTGAACACTGTTAGATTTAGTGATCCTCCAAATGCATTTTGCTGGTGCTCCAAATAGGCCTCTTGGGGGAACAGAAGGAACAGAAGGGCTGATGTCTTGACATGTTAATGTTTCTAGATAATGTCACCTTTAGGTGTGATAGCTGTTACTGTTTATTATTTTTTAAATAACCCTCTTGTTCCCATTCATTCAAGTTAAGCTTTTTTTTTTTTTTTGAGACGGAGTTTCACTCTGTCACCAGGCTGGAGTGCAGTGGCGCGATCTCTGCTCACTGCAACCTCTGACTCCCTGGTTCAAGCTGTTCTCCTGTCTCACCCTCCTGAGTAGCTGGGATTACAGGCACGTGCCACCATACCCAGCTAATTTTTGTATTTTTAGTAGAGACAAGGTTTCAGCATGTTGGCCAGGATGGTTTCGATCTTCTGACCTCATGATCCGCTCGCCTCAGCCTCCCAAAATGCTGGGATTACAGGTGTGAGCCACCATGCCCGGCCTAAGCTTGTTTTTTTTTTAATGAATAACAATGATAGAAGGAAATCTTTGGAGGGTTTATCTTCTTAGTAGCGGCCTTTCAAATTTCAAAAGTCTTCTCAGTGCACAAATCTGTTTTTGCATGAGGCTGCTATAGGGCCAGCACTTTTAGTCCTCTGTGGCCTGTTCACCTGAGTGAGTGGTGACATTTCTTGGTTCATACCTTGGAAGGCAATGATGGCTGGCCCTTTAGAGTGAGGTGAAGGAAGACTGATCCCTGGGTGTGGAGGTACTGATGCATAGGAAAAGAAAACATCTTTGGTGACACCATTGGGTGTCAGATCAGTTTTTGGCAAGTTGGCAGGAAAGTCTCCAAATCAGTGGGGTCTGGCTGGGCACCAGCAAGTTGGAAGCTGCATTAGTTCCTTCTGCTGGCATGTCCCCCTGTCATCTGGCCATAGCCTCATCTGCTCCTACTACCTTGCAGGTGCCCTTGGGGTAAAGCTGTCCAGATGCACATGAACCCCTCCTCTTTTCAGCTGGACACCAAGCCAGGAAAAGGAGAGGTGTGACTTTTTGACGGAGGCCAGTTTCTATGTCAGCAGCCTTGCCAGTGAACACTGCAAAATGGTGTCAGCCTGCAGCCTTTTTGTGCACTGGAGCAGAGCTCCCCTCACCACATTTGTGAAACAGGTTCTGTCATGGGGCCCAGGTGTCCTTTTCTCCTGCCACCCCCACTCCAGCTTGCTGGCCGCCTTATCATTCCACACCAGGAAGCCAGCATCCTTGAGTTGTCCTTACTTCTTATGACCTGCTGTGTAGAAAGAGAGGGGAAAACCAGTGTCCGAGTGGCTGCTGTGGGTGTGGTCTGGGCCGCGTAGTTTTATATACGTAACAACCTTCTGAGACAAGCGTTAGTGACTCCTTTTACAGCGGATGAACTTGAGGGTCAAGCCAGTAAATAATTTCCTCAAAGTGACAGAGCTGGAAAGTGGTAAAGTTAGGATCAATACTCGGCTTTGATTTTAAAATATGCATATGCATATATTTTGGAGATCTGGATATACCACTTCCAAAGTAGCATATTATACTGAAATTTCAAAAGAGAAAACATCTTTAAACAAAAGGAAATAACTCTTAATTATGGAGTTTCAGGTATCAATGTGTTGCTGGAGGGCTGTGATCTTAAAAGCATGTCACATTGGCAACCCGTTCCGGCAGGTTGTGACAAGCTATGTAGCATGCATGAAAGCATCATTCATTTTTTAAAAAATGTCTTCACCATTTATTTCTTTAATTTTTTGTTTTAACTTTTTATATTTATAGGCAATAATTATGTATATTTATGGGGTACAGTGTGATGTTTTTATAATGCATACATTATAACAAGATTCAATCAAGCTAGTTAATATATTCATCACCTCACCAGTTTATCATTTTGTGTGTGTGTAAGAACATTAAAAATCTGTGTTAGCAATTTACTTCATTCTTAATGGCAGACTCAGCTTCTTTTTTTTTTTAAATCCTAGACTGTTGGCTTCTCCTTCCAGCAGTGTTGTAGGACTCAGCTGCCTTTCTTTGCTGTCCCTGGCCAGAGATGTGTGCACTCCTGGTCTCCTAATAAAACTTTAGCCTATGCTGGGAGCCATGGATTTGGCAGCACTGCCTTTAGCATTTAGGAATATGTTTCTCCTTACATCAAGAATAGTTTTAGGCCAGGCATGGTGGCTCACGCCTGCAAATCCCAGCACCTTGGGAGGCCGAGGCGGGTGGATCACCTGAGGTCGGGAGTTTGAGATCAGCCTAACCAACATGGTGAAACCCCGTCTCGACTGAAAATACAAAAAAATAGCCAAGTGTGGTGGCATGTGCCTGGAAGCCCAGCTACTGGGGAGGCAGAGGCAGGAGAATCGCTAGAATCTGAGAGGTAGAGGCTGCAGTGAGCCAAGATTGCGCCACTGCACTCCAGCCTGGGTGACAGAGCAAGACTCTGTCTCAAAAAAAAAAAAAAAATAGATTTATGCTGCTTGTTGAGGACCAGCAGTATTCTCAACCATGTGAGGCATTCTTCGAACATGTGAAGCAGCATTTTCCTGGATGGGCATTTCTGCCATAATTGTGGGCAGAAAAAGGTGTGGTCCACATATGCCCAACAGGGCCAAGGGGCAAGGGTGAGCATGTACCTATGTCTTATACCCCGGAGATTCTTGCGGCTGACGAGGTTCCCTTACAAAGCCCAAAGGAATTCTCCTCCTTCCACCGGAGGTGTTTATAACCTCTAATTTGCTCACCATGCTTCTAGTGGAAGGAGTAGGAGCTCAATCCCCTGGGAGGCTGCGGCAGAGCCAGAGCAGGCTGGTGACCCAGAGCAGTGGCACTCCCCTCTGAGTGCATGATGCAGATGGAGCAGGAGGGGGATGCAGGTGGGACACCCTGCGCCCTGCAGGTGAGTGCACAGCCAGCGAGACACCCAATCAGGGAGCAGGAAGGCTGTCCCTGTGGCAGCAGGTAAAAGAGAGAGTCGCTGAGATGAAATTCGTGGGTGTGTGCTTCAGCTTGTTTGAACAGCTCCTGTGCAAGATCTTATAGTAAATGCTGAGCTTCTTTGTGCTCTGTGCCTGTCGGTGGAAGGCATAGCCCTTGATGAAGATTTCTCCTTCTACCCATCTTGCCTTTGGAAAGGGCTCCCCTTTGACAAATGCTGCTGTAGTATTTGATGCAGCCTCCATGAGGTGCTTTGGGTGGGAAGTGGATTCTGACCTCATTTCCCAGAGGAATTTGAAGTGGAGGGGAAGGACTAATTGGTCCCTCATTAAGGACTTACAATGAAGTACAGTATTTCTCCTGAAAGGATAATCTAAGTCACTGGATAAAATGCCCAACACACTTTTAACGTGACATAGGAATCCAAAGTCATTTTTAAATCAAAGATTTTTGTAGTTGTGGAGAATGGCTGTGTTTTAATGGGATCTTTACATATCAGCATTACAAAGGGCTCCTTCAAATGTGATGATTTTAATGTTTTTGCTGGGGTTTCACCTGAGGTTCCAAATACATATTTCCCTATCATATTTGCAGGCATCCAGCACCCGATTTTAGATATGCAAATCAGCTCACTTTGTTTACCAGGCTTTGGATAGGGGAGAAAAGGAGGTCTGAGGCTGGGCACGGTGGCCACACCTGTTATCCAGCACTTTGGGAGGCCAAGATGAGAGGATTGCTTGAGGCCAGGAGTTCAAGATCAGCTTTGGCAAGATAGAGACCTCGTCTTTACAAAAAATAAGTAAAAATTAGCCAAGCATGGAGGCGTGCATCTGTAGTCCCAGCTCCTCTGGAGGCTGAGGCAGGAGGATTGCTTGAGCCCAGGAGTTAGAGGCTGCAGTGAGCTATGATCGTGCCATTGCACAGCCTGGGTGACAGAGCTAGATTCAGTCTCTGAAAAATAAAAAAACAAAATAACGGGGCTGCAAAAGCTTCCTTGACGAAGAAGGAAAGTCTCTCGCTCCTGTTTAACACTGCCTGGCTGGGTTCCAGCTCACTAGCTTAAAACGAGAAGGCACCACCACTGTGATTAAAATAAGGCCCTACTTAATTAAAACAGTGTGAGAATTTAATAAGAGGCATAAGACTTCACTGATAGTCACCAAAAAATCTCAAAAAGGTGACTTAACAGGCATTAATAGCATATGTTGCTTGTTTACTCTCTGTCAACATTCCGTTTTCCAGAGACATCCTTCGTACAGGTGAAAGTCTCTCATTCCTCCCTCTCCCCTCACTGCCTGCCTTTCAGCCATTTCCTTGCTTTTTGTAGTTAACCAGTAAGAAAGAGACCATAATGGAGAAAGAACACACTGACTGTGTTTCACAGACTGTTGCCCTCATCTCCACTTGTGTTAAAGAAGGTAAATTAGTTCCCCTCCAGATTAACTTCAGCGTCAGCTGTGGTGCTTTCCTGACACTTCTTAACATTTGAACAGTACCACATTCTGTCCGTTTTATCGTTGTCTCTTCTCATACCCTGTATTTGCCAATTCTGTACTCATGCCCAGACAGATCTATAGGTATATGTAGGAGGATGATGAAGAACGGGCCGATTCGTAGCTCACCCTTTGAGCCAGGACCAAAGGTTTGGGAGTCTTAGGCTCTGACCTTATTCTTTTGGAGAGGAAAGAATCATTTTCCTTTAAGCCTAAGTCTGGCAAAATCTAATTACAAAGTTTTTCGATTTTGCTATTTTAAAATAAAAGCTAAGCCTTCCCCCCATCTAATCAGCCCTCTCTTCCTCTGCTTCTAATAGTGAAGGAAATAAAGAAGTCTCTCAATTTCACAAGCTTGAGGTACTTATATTTGTACATGATTTCCTGTTCTAAGTGGGTGGTTTTGGCCCCTGGCACTTCATGTACGCTAGGGCATTTTTGGACACTTTTGGTATCCACCTTGCTTAAGAATTGAATGACTAGGAAAGAAGGTCATGGGGAGTCTTCAAATTATTAACCCTCAGTCCAATCTAAGTCATTAGTTAATGCCATGTTTGAAGGTGGTAAAGTAACCGTCATCTTACGAAGTAACTCTCGTTTGTTATGCTTAGTGCTGAACAAAGTATAAACTCACCAATGTGAGAGACAGGGACAGGATGCTTATTTCTTTATGGATATTTAGAATTTGAGCCTGTAGGCTGGGCACGGTGGCTCACGCCTGTAATCCCAGCACTTTGGGAGGCCGAGGCAGGCGGATCACGAGGTCAAGAGATCCAGACCGTCCTGGCCAACATAGTGAAACCTCGTCTCTTCTAAAAATACAAAAATTAGGTGGGGGTGGTGGTGCGCACCTGTAGTCCCAGATACTCGGGAGGCTGAGGCAGGAGAATCACTTGAACCCAGGAGGTGGAGGCTGTAGTGAGCCGAGATCGTGCCACTGCACTCCAGCCTGGCGACAGAATGAGACTCCGTCTCAAAAAATAAATAAATAAAAAAAAAAAAAGGAAAAAAAGGAATTTGAGCCTGTAACACCAACTTCAGCACAAATAGATCTCTTTCTTGATTCTGAAATGATTTATCAGTTTTAAAAAATGGTGGGGTGCACTGCTGGTGGGAGTGTAGGTTGATATAGTCATTTGGGAAAGCAATTTGGCACTATTGTTTAACAGTGAATATTCATAGACCCATTCCTAGGCAATAACCCAGGGAAACTTATGCTGATGGGTATTGTTCCTAATGGACACAGCATTGTTTCTAATAGAAAAAAAAACGAAGCTGAAAAAATTTTAAAGGTCGTCAACAGACATATATATATATATTAGTCTAATATATGACAATTAGACTAATATATATATTAATTAGACTAATATATATTAGCTTCTATCCCTGTAGACTAATATATATTAGTCTAATATATAATAATTGAACTAATATGTATAATTTGACTAATATGTATATTAGCTTCTATCTCTATAGACATATATTAGTCTAATATATAATAATTAGACTAATATGTATAATAATTGGACTAATATATGTATTAGCTTCTATCTCTCCAGACTAATATATATATATATTAGTCTATTGAGAACCTTTATATATATATATATATATATATGCACACACACATATACACGTACATACATACATATATATAATTTTTTGCTTCACAGAATGGAATATTATACAGCAGTGAATATGAAGGAACTATAGTAGCTACCTGTAACAACATGGCTAAATCTTAGAAACAATATTGTGTGAAAAAAACTAGTCACAAAAGACTATATACAGTATGATAGTATTATAAAGTTTAAAATCAAGCACAATTAAACTATGTATTTTAGAGAGTGATAGATAGAAAATTTAAGATAGTGGTTACCCCTGGAGAGAAGGCAGGAGGATGGCTTAGGGAAATAGCAAATAGGTAGATGGATCAAAATACCCCTAAATGTCTAGTTCTCAAATAGGGTGGTCGGTGTATGCCTGTTCATTTTATTCTTATGCTTCACAGGTTACGTACATGTTAGTGCATTCTTTTGTGGGTTACAAACATTGCATGATAGAAATATTTTTAAAGTGATAGCATGTCAGAATTATGGCTTGTTTTTTCCATCTCTATTTCCTAACATTCTCTTTCCATAGTCCCCAGGGAGGGGGCTTGAGATCACACAGGAGTAATTAGAAGGTCTGCTTCTGACAGTGTCGCTCCTTGAGTGGTGGAGGTTTTAGGGGGAGGCTGACAGTAACTACTGAGTGGAATTGAGAGGTGAAGCCAGCTGGACTTCCTGGGTCGAGTGGGGACTTGGAGAACTTTTCTGTCTTCCAAGGGTATTATAAAATGCAGCAGTCAGTGCTCTGTAGCTAGCAAGAGGTTTGTAAAATGCACCAATCAGTGCTCTGTAAAAATGCACCAGTCAGTGCTCTGTAGCTAGCAAGAGATTTGTAAAATGCACCAATCAGTACTTTGTAAAATGGACCAATCAGCAGGGTTCTAAAAGTAACCAATCATGGGGAGGATTGAGAAAAGGGCGTTCTGATAGGACAGAAACAGGACATGGACGGGAAAAATAATGGAATAAAAGCTGCCCCCCCCAACCCCCCACCCCCACCCGCACCAGCCACCAGTGCAACCTGCTCAGATTCTTTTCCAGCTGTGGAAGCTTTGTTCTTTCACTCTTTATGATAAATCTTGCTGCTGTTCAGTCTTTTGGGTCTGTGCCATCTTTAAGAGCTGTAACAGTCACCGCAAAGGTTAGCGGCTCCATTCTTGAAGTCAGCGAGACCACGAACCCACCAGAAGGAACCAACTCCAGACACAGAATCAGCTAGGAGACGTGGGTGCTTTCTGTATAGTGCTTCCTACCAAAAGCCTAGAAAATCTTGGGGCGTGGAGAAAAGAAAATCCATCAAGTAAAGGCTTGATCACCTCTTGGAAAACCCATATTCATTGTCCCAACAGTGACTAATACGTCTAACTGTGGGCCTGGGTAGGATATTATGAGAAACCTGTTCTTTTGGTGCCCACCTTTCTTTTCTGAGCAACACGTGGTCTTCTGAGTGAGGCAGGAGTCCGGCATATGCGTGATGATGTAATATGTTAGGCAGCCAGGCCCTCACCTTTTCAAAGGTTCGATCTTGAAAAATCAAAGGTGGATATGTGAGAAATAAGCCCATATAGGAATAAGAATGACAATGGAAGTGGAAAATGTAAGTTGGGACTGATGTTCTGCTGCTTTGAGTACTGAAATTCTCTGCTGCTCGGATTCATCATCACTGAAGTGCTGGCCAGTACTGGGAGGGGGGCAGAGCTCTCCCGGGAGTCGTCGCTTATTCTGAAACAGCTGAGCAGAATAATGAGTGACAGGCTGGTGGTGGGGAGGTTGAGTCTTACTCCGGATTTCCATTAAATGAGTGCATGGAATCAATAGCTAACTGAACATTTGTCTTTAGAACACCCAGGGGCCCCTGGGGAATTTGGTATTTTCAGTCTAATTCTCAGACAGGAAAATGCGCAGCATGACTATTTTTTAAAATAGTTTCAACATCTTTTATGTAATGCTGATGCATCTGGAAGTGAAAACGCTAAGAGTTTCATTTCACTAAAAAATGGATTTTTTTTGGCTTTAACCTTTAAGTTGAAATCACAATTAGTGGCCTTTTCACCATAGTCATAAGAGTATCAAAGTGTGTGTATTCACCCACACATCAAACCAGTGTTTACTGAGAGTATATTCTGTGCAAAGAATTGTGCAGTTTGTTATGAAAAATACAGAGACCTCGCTGGGGCCCCTAAGGAGCTCATAGTCTAGAAAGGGAGACAGATCATTACACGGCAGGGAAAATACAATATGTATGGGAGCATGTCACAAAGGAAGTGACATCGAGCTGAATCTTAAAGGAAGAGCAATGCTTGAATGAATGAGGACATCCCTGATTGAAGGACCAGCATAATGAACAAAGAATTTTGCCTTATATTACTAAGATTCCATCAGATGTTATGACGCAAACATAAGCATCATGGTAATGAAATTAATAGTAAATTTAAATAAAAATGATCAAATTAAGACTTTTTTGGTTTTGTCTATTCTACCTTCTCATTTTAATTATGTTGCAAAGAACCATATACTTAGGGTAAACTGGTCAATAGCTGTGGCCATGGAATAGAATTATAATTCAATTTAAAAGGAGTTTAATAGTCTCATGGTAAATGAATAGGTTACAGCTGGGCACTGTGGCTCACACCTGTAGTCCCAGTTCTTTGGGAGGCCTAGGTGGGAAGATTGCTGGAGACCAGTAGTTTGAGTCCAGCCTGGGCGACATAGCAAGACCCTGTCTCTACTAAAAAATTAAAAAAATAGTTGGGCGCAGTGGCTCACGCCTGTAATCACAGCACTTTGGGAGACCACATGCTGGTCGAGACCATCCTGGCCAACATGGAGAAACCCCATCTCTACTAAAAATACAAAATTAGCTGGACGTGGTGGTGCATGCCTGTAATCCCAGCTACTCAGGAGGCTGAGGCAGGATAATTGCTTGAACCTGGAAGGCGGAGGTTATGGTGAGTGGAGATTGCGCCATTGCACTCCAGCCTGGGCAACAGGAGTGAAACTATGTTTCAAAAAAAAAAAAAAATTAAAAAATTAGCCAGGCATGGTGGCGTGTGCCTGTAGTCCCAGCTACCCAGGAGGCTGAGGTGAGAGGACCACCTGAGCCCGAGAGGTTGAGGCTGAAGTGAGCTGTCATCACACCACTGCACTCCAACCTGGGAAACAGAGTGAGAACTTGTCTCAAAGAAAAAAAAAAAAGAATGTTATGAATTTAGTATTTTTATACTTCCCCTACAACTCTAGTATCTCTGAGGAAAAGCCTCAATCAGAAAAATGATTTGCTTTGGGGTTTTATCTTTTATCAGTGATAAATGTGAATTGAGAATAGAAATCTCAAAATGCAATAATGATAGTACTTTATATTTCAGTAGGACTTAATATATAAAACTCTAATATGCATTATTTAAATTTGGCCAATATGCAAGAGAAAAGCAACATAGGGCAGAATTATGAGTTTGCTTCGTAAAATAACTATTACCAGTTCATTCTGTTCAACTATGTACTGGTAGCATTTGTAAACAATTCATTCTTATTTTTTTTCCAAAGTGCATTGCAAAATAGTCTTGCCTGTATTTTCCTGTTTGCAGTCTATTTCATTAAATTTCTGCAATTCTAAATTAGAATAGCATCTAATAGACCACATATGAAATGTGCTTGCTATTAATTCAGACATTTTATGGCATATTCATTAGTCAAATCCTTAGTATTTATTTATGAAGTCACATTACTCTGTCCAGTAATTAACAGAAGTGGATGAATATGCATCTCTAATTTTTTTTTTAGCAAAAGAAATAGCTTACAGTAAGTATTTATAATTACGTCAGCTCAATGTTTACAGCACTTGAATGGCGATATGTGTAGTTTCTGTCATTTAGACTTCATAGATAATTTTTGTACAGAAATGCTTTGTTGTTGATGCTTTGCTTCCTTCACACATATATCACAGATTACCGAAACAATCATTAGTCCTTCAGTTGCAACGGATAAGACTCTTCTTTATCCTTAATTTTCTGAGCTCCTTTCTAGGCATTTTATGTTCTTACACAGATGCTAATGCTAATTAATGCTTTAATATGAAAGATACTGGCAAATAAAACTGTTACATTTTACCCATAAGTTGTAAATTCAGCTTAGTTGCCCTAACAATACTGATAGTGATAATGGCTGTACAATTAATATTTATGGAGTGCTTCCAGTATACTGAGCTCTGTGCTAAACATTTTACTTATGTAGCTTAGTTAACTCTCGTAACAACCCTGTGAGGTAGGTGTTATTAGCCCGTTTCACAGATGAATTTGTAATCATTATGCCTTACCACATTTAATAATAACATTCTCTATTAATCGTATATTTCAGATGCCCAGCTCTGGAACTTTGCAGTATGAAACGTGTGTGTATGTGTGTGATGTATATATAATATATAAGTATGTATATATAATATATAAATGTAGATTATATAATATATATGTGTGCGTGTATATACACACATTTCTTTTTTTTGTTGTTGTTAATTTATGTGCCACGCTGCTGTACGAAACTCTGGGGTACTATGATGAGGGGATACCTCTTTCTTGCCTTTAAGGGACTTAGGTTGTGGTGGGAGAGATGGACTTGGTTAAGGAACAAGTACAGGAAAATATGATAATTGCTTTAATAGGGATAGGTACAGGGGTTGTAGAAAAATGAGAGAAAAGGGCCCCCACTTCCCAGAAGGTGTCAGGGAGTTTTTCACAGAGAAGCGTCCCCAGCCCTGAGACTTGAAGACTGAGTGAGTTTGAAAAGATGATGTGTGGGGGGAACAGAAGAGAGAAGGGTGTGGAGATGAGGGAAACAAGATGGGGTCAGGGAGCTACAGGGAGGGACTTGGAGGTGCTGAGGGTCAAGTGCAGCAGGAGGAGAGACCCGGCTGGCTGGGGTCAGAGCTCAAGGAGCCTTGCATGTTACCCAAAGGAATGTAGATGTCATACTCTGTGTGCTGGAAAACGATTTACAGATGAATCCAATCAACACTAATTAAATCAGTATGATTAAGGGATGACCTTCCTTTCTTCCTACCTTCCTCCCTCCCTTCCTCCTTCCCTCCTTCTTTGGCTCATTTATTCACTCAGAAGATTTTATTGAGTGCCCATAATGTGCAAAGCTTTCCATTGAATCCCAAAGATGAAAGGAGGGGTGAGAGTGGACACAGTTCTCCCTTTCTGGAGTTTATTGATTCGTGGGGGAAAACAAGCATTAATCAATGAATCAACCAAAAAATGTAAAAGTTACAAAATGACTACTATAACCAGGGAGGGTCATTCTATACAAGTGTGTCCTAGGAGGTGGTGACCTGGCTGAGGAAGTCTCCCTTGAGAAGAGGACTGAGCTGAGAGCTGAAGGAGAAAAGAATACAAGGTCATTTGATAGAAGGGGTGGGTGATTTGAGGAGAAGTCTTAGCAAGGAGGAAGTCATGTGCAAAGGCTTTAAGGCCTGGGAAAGCAAGGTCCTTTTAAGGAATTGAAAGTAAGCCAGCCATGCTGTAGTGCAAGTTGGAAGAGAATGCAGGTTTTGGGGGCCATGTTTAGAAATGGAAAGCCACTGCAATGCCTTAGGCAGGAGCCAAGGAAGGTAGTAGGGTGGCAGGGTGGACGCGGGGAGACGTGTTAGGGGGCCAGGGAAAGAGTCCAGATGAGCCAGGGTGGTGCCGGAGAGGAGCGGAGGGAGTTGAGGAGTATGGCTGCATGGTTGAATATGGGGCATAATTTGGGAGAGGAAGACGTCAGAGTGATGTTGATGCCATCACTGAGCTAGGAAACGTAGGTGAGGCAGAATCTATTCTGCTTAGATTTCCAGAAAACATTAGGGGATAGATGAGGATGACATCACAATGGAATTTAAGCTATTTAAGCTCAAGGTTGGCCTTGAAAAATGAGTAGGAATTTTCTTTTTTTTTTTTTTTAGACAGAGTTCCGCTGTTGATGCCCAGGCTGTAGTGCAATGGCACGATCTCAGCTTACTGCAACCTCTGCCTCCCAGGTTCAAGCGATTCTCCTGCCTCAGCCTCCCGGGTCACTGGGATTACAGGCGCCCACCACCATGCCTGGCTAGTTTTTTTTTTTAGTATAGATGGGGTTTCACCATGTTGGCCAGGCTGGTCTCGAACTCCTGACCTCAGGTGATCCTCCCGCCTTGGCCCCCCAAAGTGCTGGATTTACAGGCATGAGCCACTGTGTCCAGCTGAAAAATGAGTAGGAATTTTCTAAATGGCAAGGAGAGGCAAAGCATGTTAATCAAAGGGAGTGTCATATGCAAAGGCAGAGGCATAACAAAAATAGTGCAAATAAATGCCTACACATATACAAAAGGAGAGTTATTGTGGGACCCATACATAATTTTGTTGATTTCTTGATATGCTCATATCCATTTTGTGTTGCAGTGATTCTAAGATCTGTATTAGTATGTAGACTTTGTGAACAGGTAAACATGTTTAAGAATTTTTTAAGACATGGCTGTATTAGATATCGAAATTCCTCTCTTCATTTTCATATCTTTACTTTGGAATTCATATATGCCTTTTGATGTTATCATCTGACTTGTTTCTAATGAAATTTAGCCGCTTAGGCAGGACGTGGATTTTAGGTTTCTGCTTAGTGTTTTGGCATCTGGATTTGGGATTACTTAGCATTTTTAATTTACTAAAATAACCACCAACTTACACTCAGTTGAAATATGAACATGTCGGTTTCACTTGAGCTTGGGAATTAAAATCAAAGTACAGTCAAATCCAAAACAAATAATAGTAATTTTAAGACTAGGTGACATAACCCTCTGGGAAAAATGAGGTGATAGTGATTTGATACTTTTTTTTTTTTTGAGACAGAGTCTTGCTTTGTCACCAGGCTGGAGTGCAGTGGCATGATCTCAGCTCACTGCAAACTCTGCCTTCCGGTTCAAGTGATTCTCCTGCCTCAGCTTCCTGAGTAGCTGGGATTACGGGCACGCACCACCATGCGTGGCTAATTTTTGTATTTTTAGTAGAGATGGGGTTACACCATGTTGGCCAGGATGGTCTCGATCTCCTGACCTCATGATCCGCCCACCTCAGCCTCCCAAAGTGCTGGGATTACAGGCATGAGCCACCATGCCCCAGCCCCGATATGTTTTAATACTAACTACAGAAGTGTTGGTAGAAAGATCAGCCTTGAAGAGATGGTATAGTACTAGAATCCTAAGCATGACCTCTGTGAACTGTTGGCTTAAGTACTGGCTTTAACATCCGTTGGCTGTATTTACTGTCAGTTTTCTTGTCAATAATGCAGAGGTAAACATGATTCCTGGCCACCTCACAGACTGCAGTGGAGTGGGGCAATGTGTGTAAAGCCCTTAGCACATGGCCCAGAACATAGTAAATGTTTAATCAATGTTCGTGATGACCTTGGCCATCACTGACATCATGTCTTAACTGAGTTATTAACAAAGAGGCATGTGTAGTTTCAAAAGTGAAAGTGAGGCCGGAATGGTAAATACATGCACTGAATTTGCATAATTTTGTGGCTAGAAGGAGTCTTAGAGAAAGAGAGCATCAAATTCAGCAATGTTTCTGACATTTTCTATGAAGAACTGACTGCTTGTTATTTCTTAGAAATCTTAGAATCATTGAGCAGGGAAGGAGGGGCAGGAACGGGATTATTTTGATAGTGGTGTCCTCAAGGGGAGGAGATGGGGTGGGAAGCAACCCCTGGCCAGAACCCACTCATCCCTGGGGATAGGGACCTGCTGTGTCTCTGCCTGCTGAGTTTTTGACATTCTGATTTAAAAACCTTGTGTGTGTGTGTGTGTGTGTGTGCGCATGCTTGCGTGTGTGCATGTGTGTGTGAGAGATTATGCAATATGATGTTTCCCGTTTCTGTGACTTCAGCGAATGTGAATGAAGACCACAGAAGCAGCCTAACTCAGTGAGAATATTGTTTTTATAATTACAGGTCTAGGCGTTTTACACTGAGATTCTCCACTGCCACCCTTTCTACTCAAGCAAAATCTTCGTGAAAAGATCTGCTGCAAGGAACTGATAGCTTATGGTTCTCCATTGTGATGAAAGCACATGGTACAGGTAAACATCTCCAAAAGCTTTAAAGGAAAATAATTATCATTGAGTTGTAAAGTCCCCAAGATAGTGGTGGGGGTGTATACATATCTGGTCACACAAACATACACACACAACATACACATGTCTATTCATGTAGACTCCATTTTTTCCTACTGTCTCTTTTATAAAAATGGAACCCTTGCTTTTTTATGGGAAAGGAAATAACTTCTACTTATTTTGAGGTCACTAGTTAGGATAGATGACAAGGCATTGCTGATAATTCTGAAGGCATTTATAAATTTATAGATTTATAAATTCACTTAGAGAGACAAACATCAAATGGTAGTAGAGATTGTAGAAGTAGTAGAGATTATTAAGAGTATTGTTCCTCTTAACAATATAATTCTGAACATCTTTCATAGCAACAGATATTTTTCTACCGTATAGTTATTAATGATTAGTATACCATTGAGTAAACATTCTAAAATTTATTTAATTTATATCCCTTCTAACTGGACAGTTAGCCGTTTCTAATTTTTTTGCCTTTTTATTTTCTTGAGATAGGGTCTCACTCTGTCACCCAGGCTGGAGTGCAGTGGCATGATTTTGGCTCATTGCAGCTTCCACCTCCAAGGCTCAAGTGATCCTCCCACCTCAGCCTCCCAAGTATTAATAGCTGGGACTACAGGTGCACATCACCATGCCTGGCTAACTTTTGTATTTTTTTTTTTTATATAGTGATGAGGTTTTGCCATGTTGCCCAGGCTGGTCTCAAACTCGTGACCTCAAGCAGTCTTCCCACCTCAGCCTCCCAAAGTGTTGGGATTACAGGCGTGATCCACCACACCCAGACATTTTATTGCTTTCATGATGCCAAAAATATTCTTATAGCTCTGTATTAGTTCCCATTACAAATTATTTCCTTAGGCTAATTTCTTAGCAGCATACTGGTAAATGTAAGAGTTTTCAAGTTTTACGGCTTTTGGTAACTTGTTGCCAAATTACTTTCAGTAAAGTCATACCAGTTTGTATTTCCAGAGGCAGTTTATGAGAGCGTCTACTTAATACAGTTTTCCAATGCTGAGAATTTTGAAAACAAAAAGAGTTTTTTGCTGACTGATTATGCAAAATGGTGTTTCCATGTATTTTGGGTTTTGGGGGTGGGGGGGGTCATTTGTAAGTCAAGTAAATTGTACTGTTTTGTAGAACCTTCCTCCATTAGACAGCAGCATCCTTGAAACTTACCAGATTTCGACATTTCAGAAATAATATTAAATCCAGAAGGAGTAGAAGGGTCCTAGGGAATTTTAAGTTCTTCCTTTCTGGCCAAGTATTTTTAGACAACTATGAAATCACTAGATACAATCATTTTTCAGTGGAAAGCATAATTTTTCATTTCTTAAAAAGAGCAAAAAGGTATTTAATAAAAAAATTTTATTAGATATGTATCTGAAGTTATACTGCTCATTAGTTTAAAAATATGTATGTGCCTATATATGTATGTGTGTGTGTATATATATATATGTGTATATGTGTGTGTGTGTGTGTGTGTGTGTGTGTATATATATATATATATATATGTCCAATATCGGGAACATGATTAAATATAACTATGTTAGTGCCATATGATGGAAAAGCTGTAGATAAGATTGCAAGCTTCAGGCTGCCTGGGCTCAAATTCCAGCTCTGCTGTTTTCTTGAAGTGTGACATTGGGCAAGTTACTTTGCATGTAAAATTCGGATAATAATAGTACCCTTCTCCCTTGGGTGTTGCTGCAAATAATATATATGAAATGTTTAAAATCGTTAAAACTCCTATTTCAGGAGTATTTAATCATTTGAGAAAATGATCAATATAGAAGTAAACAAATGTAGGGTATTGGCATGAACCATAGTATAATCCTAATCTTCCAAAATTACTTTGCCTCTCTTTCCTCCCTCTTTTCATCCTCCTCTAGTATCTACAAAAAGGGTTTAGCATACTTCTGAATGGATTTAATTTGTATTAGTGGAGTAATCCCAGTCCTGGAGAGACTTCCTGATTCAAGTTTTCAAGTCAGAGACCCATTTTTCACAGAGCTTTGAAACCATGGCTGTCTGGATCACCTGGCTGGGGGCACCCTTGGAGCAGCCGTTGGGTGAGAGCAGAGCTTCCTTCCCAGCCAGGGCTGCCTAGCTCCTGTGGTACAGCAAGTGCCTTGGGCACAGAGTCCCTCACCGTCTGGCACCATATGTGAGCTGCCCTAGTTGGCTCATCTCTTCCCGTCATTACTAAATAAGCTTCATTTCACTAAATAAATGAAAGAGAAGGTAGATGAAGAGACCCCCCCGCCACACCCAGCTCTTAGGAAACGCATGCTTTATCCTACAGATGCATGAAGGGGAAGGCTGTAGGTTTGTGAATCTCTTGACCCTTTGGCTCCATCGTAACGTTGAAAAGTGAAAGGAAAAGTGGTCAAAGAATCATTTGGCATGAAGGAGACAAACACAGAACGACGTGTACGGCTTCAGCCTCTGCCTTTCACTGGTTACCCTGCTATGAGCTTGTGTATGTAGACGCTGCATTCGTTTTGGCCCTAATTTCTGGTCTAATTTGAACAGCTCTGTATTTCTCAGCAGAAGAGGAATATCTGAATTCCTAATTAAGACATGTTAGCTTAAGAATACCTCCTTAATGTGTCATAAATCATTCCCCTGTGACTATGAGGATGAATAAGAAAACAAAACTTGGATTTATACACACATGTATATTATTTCAACAAAATTAATAAGTTCATAGAGGGAGAGAGGACAACAAATGTGTTAGCAAATATAGGTCAGGAAAAGAGTTCATAATGTTCTGCCAGATTCTGATGAGGCACCTCATGAGTGTAGGTAGAAGGCCTCAAGTAACGGTAGTGGGAATGGTAATAACACTACCATATGGAACATTTGGTATTTGAATAGCACTTAGCTTCCTCCCAAACTACAAAATCAATAAAGACTCAGAGAGGAAGAAAGGATTCTCTTGCTGTGGATCACTGGCTGGTGTGCAGAAATGCAGACGTGTTGGTTGTCAAGGGCTTACCAGAATAAATTTCTCTAGGGAGACAGGAGAGTGGGAAATACTTAACCATATTAATTGTGCTGTGACCTCAGATCTGTGGTCAGCAGTTTTTGGTTGTTTCCATATACTGCACATGGTTGCCCACACCATTTTTGCATTCATGTACAAGACCTATCTGCAAGACCAGGCAGAATCATTGTTGAAATCTTAGTTCGCAAAGTCCCATGGGGACTTTGGGGTGTCTTAGGATTTTGCCAGCACAAAGTTAAAGCACAACTTTTGAATTGTGAGAAACTGAGACAAGGTCTTTAATTTTAATCCCATTCAGTCATTCCTCACTCATTTATTAATTTAGCAAAGGCCTTTTTAGGGGCAGCTATGTCCCAGTATAGGGCTGGGCATTGAAGATAATGGAGGAAAACAAGATTGACAAAAGACTGGCCCTAATGGAGTTTACAGTTCTCAGGGAGATACAGTCAACACCATCATAACTGGTTTGGGGGAACAGGGGAGATGAACTGGACCATTCTAAAAGGAGGCAAGAGGTGCATCTGAAATTGGAAACTGGAGAAACCAGGGGAGACAGACCTGTTGATCTGGAAGGCATAGAACAGAAAGAACCAGAGAATAGTCAGGGACTGACAATGAGGTTGTGATTGTTGACAGCCGGACCAGGCCAGGAAATGAAGAAGGTAAGGAGAGAAGCGTACTGTCTAACACCCCTCGAATGCACAGTTGCTAGGGCCAGTAAAGATCATCGGGCTACTCATCTCTCAATTTAGGTAATGTAAATGATGCATCTTATTGACAATCCATATCCTTAAGAAATTGTGAAATGAGTCTTTTACTTTTTATAACTCTACAAACATGTTAGAAAGATGGATGTCACCGTGTCTTTATCACAGTATGGTGATTTTTCTTAACCACCCAAAGGAAGAATCGAGGTGCACCAGAACACGTGTACCTTGTTCTCTTATTAACCATATCCTTTTTCTTACTTTACCCACTATAATTCACCTCAGAGAGTGAGATTAATTATATAATTAATCCTACCTTTTGTGCACATGCATAATTAACTTTATTTAGTTCACTTTAAACAGATTTTAGGTTCCAGATCTAAATAATAGCCCCTCCATTTGTCACATCTTGACCTCTTTACTATTTGGTACCCTTCCACTCAGCATTGTTTGTGGGATTGTGGTTCTTCTTACCTTCCTCCCTCCATTCCTGGGTGCTTTTAGTGGTCTCTTAAATAACAGGCTCTGCTCAGAGATTTCTTTTATCTCCTTAGGCCTTGACCTGCATTTGGTAAAGGCTGCATTTTTAGCTTCGGATTTACTGTCTTTGACGAACCTTTTTCTCTATTGTATCCCTCCCTGGTCAGCTGCTCTCTTCGGGCCCTCAAACATCCACCACGTACTCTACCCAGATGTTTTCTTCTTTCTTTAACATGTCCAGTTGAGTTGCCCATATCATCCCCTACTCCCCATCCACACACCCACCCAGCACACACACACACACACACACGCGCGCACACACACACACACACACACACACACACAGTGCATTCTCGAACATGGGGTCTTTTCCCCTTCAGGCACCGTATGTAACCCACCCCGCCCCTCAGCTCTTAGGAAATGTTTCCTTTATCCTACAGAAACACAAAAAGAAAAACTGTAGGGTTGTGAGTCCCTCTCAACCCTTCGACTACATCTATATCATAAGGTTGAAAATGAAATGAAAAAGGTTGAAATGTACATTTCTAAGGTTAAGAAAATCCTACTGATATTAAGTATTTAAAACACAGACTTCCCCAAAATTTATCTTTCAGCATAAATATGCCCTTCCCTTTTCTCCCACCCTTCCTTCAATCTGTAGATAGCCTCCATAATTCATAGCCAGTTTGGGTAAAGGCATTATTTTGAGACATTTAATGATTTTTTTAGGAAAAGCGAAAAAATGTAGGGTCAAAGATTCAAGAGTATATTGTGTTTTATATGTAGGCGTAGCTTTTAAACTATTTTGGATACTTTAAAGTTTTAAAATAACTTACCAGGCTTCTTTATGAAGCATTTTATTCTTTGAAAGTTTTATAAATAATATGATTTCTGGTGTCAGTATGGAAACATTCACATAGTTGTAATAACTCTCATGAAATAAGGTAGACTATTCCATCATCTGTGTTTACTCTTAAAACACATTAGAAAATGGTTGATATCAAAGCTTACAATTTTGTCTTTCTTATTGCTACCCTAAAGCAGACTGCTGCACAGACCTTCCCCTGCTACACTAATGCTGCTTTCAATGTTGGCAAACCATACTACTCAAAGTGCGGGCAAAACTCGAGGTAGAAATCCAACTTTCATACAGCTTTATCAAAATGACAGTATTCTATGGTACTTTTCAAATCACTATTTTTTTCTCTTAGAGGTTATCAAATGAAATGAAGCATTTAAATATGTTTTCTAAATTCAGGAATGTGAGATAGGAGAGCTTTTGACATTATAGGATTCAGCGGTGGAAGAGAAAATGAACATCCAGTTCCCTTTCTCCCTAACTCAAGATCTGTGCTCCCTGAATATCATTAGTGCTTCTCATTTCATCAGTGTTCAAATAGTGAATCATTCATTCACTGATTGTTGAAACAACTGTTATAAGATTTGGAAATAATATACAGAACATCTTGGAAGTACTTTTTTTTTATTAGCAAGAAGCAGCTATATGCCAAAAGTATTAAGAAGGATCATCTCTTCAGAATAAGTGAGAAGTATATCACTGGTAATTTTTTAGATTTTTGCTGAATGTTTTAGTAAAATTTGGGAAGGTAGTTTTTTTTTGAGTTGGCAATTATATGCTGTCCCTCTTGTTTTCTCTTCCAAAATAATCATTCTTCTCTCTCTCTCTCTCTCTAAAATGGGAGCCACAGAGCCACTGTCAGAATTGTATACATATAAACCTGAGAACATTGCCTGGCCTGGCACATAGTCAATGCTCAATAAACATTTCTTGCTACTGTATCTACTGTGTTCTGTTCCCCCTCTGTTCAACACCCTGTATTTTTTCCTGGTGGAGATTTTCCTGAGTACCTAAACAAATAAACATAGCCAAACAAAACAAGAATTCAGTGCTGATGCCGTGTGCTTTAGAAGCTGGGTCTGTGCTTGACTTGACTGACGGAGATGTGATACTCTGAGTGTGTCTGCAGATAAAGCCAAATTCAAAATTCAAGTGAAACGCCCTTGGACTTGGGAATGAATCGGCGGGTGGGGGGGGGGGGCTTTGACCAAGGTACTCAGTGACCCTGTGCTTCCAAGTTCTCCATCTGTAACATGAGTGGTTTGCTCTCAGAGGTTTCTTCCACCTCTAAAAATTACCATCATTTTGCAACCTTGATGCTTTAAGACTTTGAAGTCCCTGTGGAAAAGAACCTATGAAAAGCGGTCACTGTTTCTGTTTTCCCCGTGCATTTTAGTGGCTGCATAGAGTGTTTTTTGGTGTGTGTCTTCCATCTTGCTCAGGTGGAGCTAATGACCTCCTTCTCCAGGATAGACAATAAAACAAACCAAAACAAAAACACTCTGTTCATGCACAAAGGCAACCCTCTTCCAGATGCTTAACCCCTTAAATGAGTATTTCGATGACACAGAGGGATCATCACTTCACTTGCCACTGAAATACAGCCATCTCTGGAGTGAAATTTGGCAGCTGGGAAGTAGTCAAGCTGCAGTACTTATATGACAGTTTGGGGAAAAGGAGTGAGACAGAAATAGCAGATTCCAAAATAATCCCATTAAAACAGCAGGGAAAGTGGAATTGGGCAATAAGATGGGAGGATGGTTTGCCCCAAAGTCTGACTGTCCTGTTTAGACAATGCGGACTTCAGCCCCAGAAGCTCTAACTTGTGTCACTGCTGGAATATAGTGACCACAGTCAAGAATCCCCTACACACACCCCAAAAAGGGGGGCTTATCTAATGTCCCATTGATCTATCGTCTTGTGATTTTTTTTTTTTTCTCTTTTTCCTGCTACTCTAGTTATCAGGCTGTGCTGGCACATAAATGGATCTGTCTTTTTAAAGCTACCTCTTCCTTTTGCCCCCTGCATAAGATAGTGTTGTAGGTAAGCATGTTATAACATCAGAAAGTACTCAGCTGAGAAGGAGTGATGTTAAAGCACCCTTTGGGCTGGCTCTGGAAGGATGAACTGACTGACCAGAAAGGAAAACTCTTCTGTTTAATTCCAGGATCTTGGGAATAACAGTGACAGAGAAAGAAGATTCGAGAAGTAGATGTGGTTGAGTACAAATGTAGAACTCTTCAGATTTTCTGGAATGGGGTAGCCATTGTGATAAATATTAGGATATGAGCGTGGAAGTCGTAGTGGATAAATTTGAAAGCTACTCAGCAATATGTGCAGCAACAGTTTTTAAAAAGCAAAAGGAAGATTTGTCAACATAGTTAGAAATCCTCAGATCCTCAGATAATGGAACATCATATCTCTCAAAAGGAAGATTCCAGGGAATAAAGAAAGCAGATGATAAGGGAACCTGGGCATTTTAGTTTAACCAGAAAATAGAACGTTACCAAAAAATTTAGAGATTAAAGAGTCAGTTTCATTTAGAAGCACATAAAATGTTTATGTAATGAGCAGAATTTATAGAGTCTACTATTATAAAATAGAACCAAAAATGAATTCAAGAAAAATGTAATAAAATTAATGTAGTGGGAGAAAATGAAATACAATATCAGAAATTCTAGTTTTGAATCTCAGTTCTGCAACTTATCAGCTTTGTGACCTTAGGGAAATCACTCAAAATCTGAGGGTTTTTTCCGCATCTCTATAAAATAGAAATAATTATAATATCTGTCTCACAGGGGTATTGTGATGATCAAATGAGATAATGCATTGAAAATGTTTTGTAAATTGTAGAGCCCTCTACATATGCTATTTCTATAACTCTGCAATTTCTTATGGCATGGAGTGAGCTCTCAGAGACAGTAATCACATGTGGAAATAGCTTAGAGAAGCAGTCATATCAGAGGCAAAATCTATTGTATAAAAATTTAAAAATTCATATGAATTATTTTTTCTGCTTCTCATTTTTCTGGCTCAGAAATTCTTCTATGTTTACAGAATTTTTCCAAAAATATTCTGGTAAGCCCTGTAACAGAATTGTCCACTCTCTGTTAAGCGGTAAACCACATGATTTTTTTTCCTTTTTTTTTTTTTTTTTTGAGACAGAGTCTTGCTCTGTTGCCCAAGCTGGAGTGCAATGGCACGATCTCGGCTCACTGCAACCTCTGCCTCCCAGGTTCAAGCAATCCTTTTGCCTCAGCTTCCCAAGTAGCTGGGACTACAGGTGTGCGCCACTGCACCTGGCTAATTTTTGTATTTTTAGTAGAGATGGGGTTTCACTATGTTGGCTAGGCTGGTCTCGAACTCCTGGCCTCAGGTGATCCACCCTCCTCGGCCTCCCAAAGGGCTGGGATTGCAGGCATGAGCCACCGTGCCCGGCCAAACCACAAGATTTTATAGTAAATATTGCCTGTGAGTAAACCTTGAATAACAACATTAAAGCAGAAGACTGCTATCTTGTGTCATTTGATAATCCTAATTTAGGGAGGTCTGGGCAGAGAAAAGCGGGGTGTGTCTGTGGTCTGGGGACAAGAGTAATGTAAGTAGCATGCCACATGATGAAGACTGAAACGGAGACAGTGAAGCACGGTAAATCTTTACTGAGTGTGGGCTGGTGTGCTGAAGTTCCCTTTATGCATCAGCCCATCTGTCTCATTAGCTTCTCTCTTAATCACAGGCTCCATGAAGTGTCTACTTGTCTTTTTTTAGCTTTTTATGTCAATCTCCTATAAAAGCAAAAGGAAGTCAACTGGCCTTTATGCTGTTTGTGTATACTCCATGCATGCTCGGGGTGGGGCCAGCTGTATTTATAAATGCATGCTAACATGGGGGTTACTCTGTGTGCATAAGAGCTTATTTGTATGTGCATTCATGAATATGTGTACATTTGGGCAGATACACAAAGACACAACACATATGTGCCTCTGCTGTATGCTCTCTTACATGGAAAAGACACATTGACATTAATTAGAAAAGGTGATATGAAACAGTGAAAGTAAAATTCCTTTCGGCAGTATTTACTATTGTAATTAAAGTGCATGATGTAACATTATATGTGCAGGAGAATTTGCTTATTCATCCTTTAGAACAATAGTAGGAGTTACATATTAACAGGTTTAAGTGTCAATAAGTGTCTGAATACAGATTCTCTATTGTGTGCAGTTCTTGTAATAAGGCAGTGTATTTTCCTTGTGTCTTTGCTTGCTTGGAATTGAAAATGCTTTGGATGAAGAATGTTGCAGAGTGTAATTTGTGGCAGAAAATATGCCCCCACTGTTTGTTTATTATTCCTGAGGACATTTGCTGGGCTGAACTATCATATGTAGAAAAGAACAGCTTTGTTTGGAAAATACTGTAAGAGCAGTACAAGAAAATTGAATTAAGTAAAGAGACTTAGGGAGTCCATCTTTCTCTGATGATATTCCTTATTTGCTCTTCATTATTCCCTGTGAAGGAATAAAAACGATGAAATTGGATTTGAAGACTGGATTAAGACAAATGACTTTTCAGATTTTTTTTTTTTTACCTTAGCTGTTTCCAATTTTCCTAGAAAAGCACATAGTCACTATATAAAGAGTCTGAGTTTATTGCATTAAATCTTCCTAAATAGTGTGCCCTTGAGGTTTGATGTGGGGAATTAGTTTAGAAGATTCAGGGGCTTGGAGTACCTGCTAACTGTGTGATGGCGTGTGTCTCTAGAAATTTTATATGCCCATTGATTTTTATAGAGCAAGCAGTACAATAGAAGGGAAGCAGGATGCTGCTTGGTCTTAAGGAAGTCTTTCCTGCCTACCAATTGCCACACCCCTTTTTCTCCAGGTAGAGTTGACTATGTTTTCTTCTGGGCCATTGCTGTACTTGCCTAATACTTTTAATAAGGACTTGCAAATGTGCCTGTAGGTCTCTTCTAACTAGGCTGTAAACCACTCGGACAGAGGAATTGTTTTATTTCTTGTAACTCTAACACCTAACACAAGGCCCTCAAGATAACCTGTCAAATGAATGAACAGATGAGCTGAATACCCGCTGTGTGCCTGTTCTTGTCTTAAGACATGAGGGACAACCTGTAACACAGGACACAATGTGGCTGTGTCTGCTCTGAAATGGTAGAATATCTAGCTACAGCTTAGAATAACTGGGTAAGGAAATAAATGCTGGATTATAACCCAAAGAATAAAATATCCAACGAGTCCAATGAATAAATAAATAAGGGAAAAGGAATGACTCTTCCCTGCAGCAGAATTTCAGTTAATAAACAAACGAGGAAGGAAGCAGTATGAAAACATCATTAGAACTCATAGTAAGAATTGCCACGAGAAAGTCCCACCGATGGATGCATTAGATGGGCAGATGTGGATTAGATGGATTAGAATGAGCGGGCAAAAGTATATGCAGAAACAGGAAATTCGTAGAATTTTAAAATATCCCTACCCCAAACATTTAGTAATTACAAGGAGAAAAATAAAAGTTT